>NC_000002.12:57160049-57463079 GCF_000001405.40 Homo sapiens | reverse complement strand
CACATATATCAAAATGTCACATTTTATCCCATAAATATATACAATAAAATAAATAAAGATATATGTACTAAAATAAGCAAACATGCTTTCAGAGAGACTATTTCTCTTTTATTTTTGGACAACTGGGCATTTCAAATAATTAAAATACCATTTAGAAATGTTACTTTTCCTTTTGATATGTTACATAAAGCAATTGCTCTTAGGTGAAAGAAGACATTGGAATAACCCTACTTTGGTAAGTTTTTATACTAAAATCCGCAGCTGAATGTACTGCCCTATACAGTGGTCTTGCAAAGGTTAGAGGAAACATAAAAATTGGGAAAAAATAATAAAAATACCCAGATTTTCTAATGAAAAGGAAAGTGGTTATTTTAAGATTGAAGACATAGCACACAATTCAGTTGCTAAACTTGATTAGATTCCCTTATACAGCCTGAGAAAAATGAGCCTGAAATGGAAGCAATTACAGAATACAGAATAAAACTATTTTTTAAAAAGTGTCTTTTATGTTAGGAAAGGTCCTGAAAGGGCACCATCTAACTGTAAAATACTTGGCTGCCCAAAGTAATCCCATAAGAAATGGATCTTGAATTGAGATAAGAAGAAAAATGAAAAATGACTTTATCTTACTAAAAATATCCTGCACAATAGGAGAACATTTTGTGAAAGGAATAACAGCTGTAATCATATGTTGCATAAGATGTTTCATTTCTTTATTCTCCCATATATCTACAAAATAGTTGTAAGTAGTGGAATTTATTTTAAACTTTCAAGAAAGTATTGCCTTATTCTTTTTTATTCCTCCTTCATGTCCATTTTAGTTAAAAGACTACTTATGATTACCTGTAATCACATGATAGAGGAATATATGTTGTCCTATATTTCTTTAGCATTAACATTTAGCATTCCTGTCTCTATTCAGAAATAATGAAGAACAAACAGCAGATTTGGTAAATTGCATTATTCTTCATCCCTCCCTGTAATCAAACCCCAATTTTTCATGCATTCCTATAACCAAGCCCTTTGCTGTATAATTTACAGCTCTTTCCATAAGAGGGGTGGTGTTTATTTTCCCACCCCTTGACTTTGAGTTCAGCTCAGTGACTCCCTTTGCTTGATAAAATGATACAAAACGACAATGTGCCACTTCAAAATTTAGGCCTCAGGAGTTCATGCAGGCTTCTGTTTGTTTTCACTTCTGCCCTTGCCAGGAGGGAAACATGTTAACTAGCCAGCTGGTTCTAGGAGCAGAAAGAGAAACATGAGGTATAGAGCTGTCGCAGCCAAGCCCACCCTAGATTGGCCCGCCCTCAAGCAACTCAAACTTAGTGAGAATAAATGACTGCTATTTTAAGCCTCTCAGCTTAGGAGATGTTTGTTATGCAGAGCATCTTTCAGTAGATAAATTACACAGCGGATACAGTATATGTGAAATCTGATGACAATACACACATATACACACATTCAGCAATGACTGTAGGTTCTTTTGAGTTCAATTACTTAACATGCATTGGCAGAATGAGTCTTAATATGAAATAAAGCCAGGTTCTCTCTTTCCTCTAAATAGCAGGAGCACTTGTTATATTATAATAAACATCATTCTGTTGCACACTCTCAAAAATCCTGTAACTCTCCCTCTTGACACACATCATATTTGTAATATACTGTTAATTCTATTTAAATTTCTGCTTTGCCCAGTAGAATGAATAATATCTAAGAATTACTGTTATTTTTATTTCTTACACAATGCTATGAGGAACTCTTAATATCACTGTTTGACACATGATGCATCTGAGGTCCAGAGATGCTAAGTAAATTACCTAACATCACATAGCAGGAAAGTAGCATAACTGAAGTTGAAATCCAAGCAGCCTGGTCCAGAACTGTTGCTCTAAACCATTTTCCTATACAGCACCACGGTCTTGGAGGTAATTGTTCTGCCCCATTACCTTGCTAAGCACCCGACATGTACATGCAGAACCATTGTTGAAAGGTTTAATTTGACATGTTGAAGCTGAGGTGGCACATACACTGTGAAAGGAGGAAATCTAATATCATGAAGCAGCCACTGTGGCATGTGCTGATGACTTACAAGCTGGAAAAAAAAAAAAACCAGACATAATCCTTGCTCTCTTGGTACATACATTCCAGTGATGCAGATAGAAATAAACAAAGAAACAAGAAGTGACCATTACAAAATGTGGAAGGGCTGTTGAAATAACAACCAAACAAACAGAGTGATGCTAGAAAACAATGAGTATGAATGAAAAACATTCTATTTTTTTGATGGTTAGAGAATGCCTTCATTTAAAAGAAAGTATTTAATCTGAGATCTGACAAATGGGTAGGAGCAATGGAGGAGATCATTGAGGAAGAATGTGTAAGGGTCCCAGGGCAGGAAAAGCCACTATTCAACTTTCTCTAGACAGTTGCTGAAACCTTCCAATGCTCTGTCAACATTCACTTCCCAGTGAATTCTCCACACTGGTGAACTTTCTCAAGTTGTTCTCCATTATTTTAGGGAAGAGAAAACAACTACTTAACAAGGTTGGTAGGCTTGGCTCATGCCTTTTTTCCAAACTCATTTAATTCTTTTTTGCTTTCTGTCCTGGCTATCTGTCCTTCCATCACCTTGTCCTTGTCATGCTTTCTTATGCCTCACATCTGCACATTTACACATATAGAGTTTTCTGCCTGAGTCCTTCTTTTTAAAAAATAATGTGTGCTGACATCTCAGATTTCAACTAAAGAATCAGTATTCTGAGGATCCTTGTTTTGTTTCCTGACCATATCAAATTTCACTTATATGACATCCATAGCACAGGATTCATTACTTCTCTGTATATTTGCAAAAGTAATATTTTATAATTGTGTTTGCATGTGCATGCATGGGTGTGTGAACACTGGATGAGCATAAATTTAATGAAGTCATGAATGTTGTCTTTTTGTAAGTACCATTACATCCCATGTGTTTGAAAAATGCCTGACAAACATCAGATGCTCAACACGTTTATTTAGCATATTGAGTAAAACTTATTGAAGAGTTTTAGGTAGGGGGATTACATAATACAATGTGTATTTTAAGATTACCCCATTTGTTGCTTCAGGAGGAATGAGCTGGAAAGGGGGCAATTGTGAAATCTCTATTCACAATGATCTTTTACCTGGGCTACTATAGCAGCCTGTTAACCATGCTGCTTGTTAACTTCAAACTGCAAAGCAAAATGAAGTGGCAGCAAAACAGATTCTAAAAAGTAGTTGGATTTGAGATCATATTGGAGAAAGAATTTTCAAGATTTACTGATATTAGGTGAGAATGATAAAAAAAAAATGAAACCAATTAAGAATAGCTCCTAGGTTTGTGGGAGCATACTTAACAATATTTACGGCGATAAGGAAAACTCATGTGCAAGGAAAATTCTGTAATTGGGGAAATAAAGGCTTTGTCTTTGGCCATGTTAAATTTAAGATGTCTTTGAAACATTCATTAGACAATGTCGAATAGACAGTTGAATTTATTTATCTGGAGGCCTATGGGAGAAGATTCAAGTAAAGATATAAATTTAGGTATCATCAGTATATACATTTCATTGAAAATTATGACAATAAGCAAAAACATGTATGAAGAAAGGGTAGTAAGAGACAGATTAGAGCTAATTCCTTCAGAATATCTACCTTTATAAATAAATGAGTTTAAAGAAAGAGTAGAAAGTATTTTCAACAAATAATGCTGGAACATTTAGGTAGCTATTGATATGGTTTGGATCGGTGTTCCCACCAAATCTCATGTTAACATGTAATCCCCAGTGTTGGAGGTAGGTAGGACCTGTTGGAAGACGATTGGATCATGGGGGTGGTCCTTCATGAATGGTTTAGCACCATCTCCTGATGCTGTTCTCGTGATAGTGAGTTCTCATGAGATCTGATTGTTTAAAACTGTGTGGCACCTCCCCCACATCCCTCTTGCTCCTGCTTAGGCCATGTAAGACTCACCTGCTCTCCGTTCACATTCCACCATGATTGTAAGTTTCCTGAGGTCTCCCCAGAAGCAGAAGCCACTATGCTTCCTGTACAGCCTGCTCAATTGTGAGCCTATTAAACCTCTTTTCTTTATAAATTACTCAGTCTCAGGTATTTCTTTACAGCAGTGTGAAAATAGACTAATACAGCCATATTGAAAACAAATAAATATAGAAAATCTTGATTTTTGACCTCTTACCATGTAAAAAATTAAAGCTAGATAATAGATTAAAAGAAAGATAAAGCTCTAAATAATATAGAATAAAATATAGATGTGTATATTTACAACTTTGGGTTAGGCAAATATTGTTTAGCTAGGACACAAAAAACATTGTGCTTAAAAGAAATAGAAGATGATAAATTGAGTTATTCAAAATTAAAAACATCTCTTCTTCAAAAGACATTATTAAAGAATTAAATAATAAACCACAGACTGGGAAAAAGCATTCATAATTAATATATTTGACAAAGCAATTGCAGAATACAAAAAGAACCCCTAAAACTCAAAAAGGCAAACAACCCAATTTAAAATATTGGCCAAAGATTTGAAAGACACTTCACTAAAACTGTCCAAATGACCAATAGTCACATAAGATACTCAACATCATTAATAATTAGAAAAAAATAAACAGACTAAAGCTCCAATGAGAAATGACTTCATAGAATGAACTTCAGAAATTCTCAAATAACTTTATAGAAATCACCTCACAGAGTCGGCCAGGTGTGGTGGCTCACGCCTGTAATCCCAGCACTTTGGGAGGCTGAGGCGGGCAGATCACTTGAGGTCAGTAGTTCAAGACCAGCTTGGGCAACATGGCGAAATCCTGTCTCTACTAAAAATACGAAAATTGGCTGGGCATGGTGGTGGGTGCCTGTATACATGCATGTGTATATACTTTAAAGCACGTTGCAGACAACAATACTCTTCACTACTCAGCATGAATATCATTAACTAGACATTGCATTCTAAATTTCATTAGAATTTAATTTTTTTCTTTTGACGTAAAATGTAGCTACAAAGAAATGCAAAAAATTTAAGTACGTCTTTTCATGAATTTTGAAAATTGCATACAATTATGTAAACTAAACCCCTGTTGAGACATAAAACTGTCCACAGAATGTTTCCTAATACCTTTTCCCAGTCAACCCGTACCCCCGTTCTTCCAACTGCAACTCCTGCTCTGATATTCCCCTCAGTCTCCCACAGATTAGTTTCCTTTTTCTGGAATTTCAAATAAATGAAATAATTTTTGTAAGGCTTCTTATACTCGGTATAAAGTTTTCCAATTTCGCTCATCTTACTTACTTATAAATAGTTCATTCATTTTCATTGCTGTGTAGTGTTTCATTGTATAAATATACGACAGATTTTTAAAATTCATTTACCAGTTGATGGACCTATGTGTTTTCTCCAATTTTGTGCTACTATGAATAAATCTTTGAACATTTGTGTACTAATCTTTTAGCAGACATATGTTTTTCTTTCTCTTGGTAAATATTTTGGACTAGAATCAGTGAGCTATAGGATAAGTATATATTGAGTGTTATAAAGAAATGGAAGACATTTGCCAAACTGGTTATAATGCTTAGGTTTCCACAAAATGTATGAGAACTCCAATTTTTCACATCCTCTTCAAAATTTGGTACACACCATCTCATTGATTTTGTACTGGCTACAGCCTCTGTCAAGTACATTCTTCCTTCATGTATCTATGTGGACTGTTCACTCATACTCTTCAGTGTTTTTTTCGAGTCACTTTCTCAGTGTAGCCCCTACCTTTTAAATCTTACTTAAAATTGTACCCAGAGCACCCACCCAACCCACAACACTATCTTTCTTTGTCTTTAATGTTCCCAGATAATTTATGTATTTATCAGTTTGTCTATACCCACCTATCTGATACCTATATCACGGATTGTGAACTCCATGAAAATAAGGAATTTTTGCTATTTGTTCACTTCTTCATTCCTTGTTTTTGTAAATATTCCTGGCTCAAACTAGGCACTCAGTAGACATTTGTAGAATCAGTGCATATCTAGGAACACTGTGGAGTTGATAGAGACACAGCAAGATCCTGTTTACAAGAGGGCACTTTTGCTTGTAGCCAAAAATCATCTAGGAACAACTTTCAGATGTTTGGGTTAAATTAACTCACCTGATTCACCAATTAAAGTGTCATTCTTTCTTTTTTTTTTTTACTTGAGCCTAAAAAGGGACAACAGATATTATAGTAATTAATTGTGACTGATGGTATATGCCTCAATGTCTAAAATAAACATTTTTCTCAAAGCCTACAAAAAAACTTTTAAGAAAATTAGTGTTTTTTTTGTTTTGTTTTTTAAAGAACAACTAATTTTAACATCCCTCAGAATGTCTGGAAGACTTTTGTAATAAAAATTAAAAGTCTAGAAAATGTTGTGGCACTTACCTCATTATGGATCATGTATCACTCATACAGAGGGAACACATATGGCAGTTTAATTGTATATTGTTTCTTGAAATTGTTTTAAGATTCACTTATCTTCTAACTATACAGCAGAATTCTTCCCAGAATTCTTTGCCTTGTTAATGAGTTCCTCATTTGAATATATTGAGAAAAGTTTCAGAATTGGTACAGCTGTTCAGTGAAACACTGTAAAACTTTTACTTTTACAGTTTTCCCTTCTGAGAATTTAACTTTCTTTTGGGTAGTTTATTCATCAGAATAAGACCACAGGTTCTCAAAGTAGCTAAAAATTGTTTACATTATTGAATACAAAAGTCCCTCTACTTATAAGATTGTTAAGTTCTGAAAGACAGCTTGCAATACATTTTTTTCTAAGTCCACAGAATGTCCAAGGGGGATGAGTGTAGTGTAAGCTTACAGTCTATGGATATGCTACTATTAGGAATTGTATATTGTCTTTAAAGCTTTAAAAATGAGCACATTTCTCTTTTCCTTGATGATATAATAGGAATGATATTTTAAAATTTTTACTGGATTTTCTTATTTAGCATTGTGAGCTTGTAACATTGACCTTTCCCTGCCTGAGATAGCCATTACTCCATTACTTTGGGAGAAAATTAAGGTTAAAAGAAATAAGTTTTACTAAGGAAGGAAGGTATAGAAAAATATAGTAATGAGAGAGGGGGAAATAAATTATATATATAATGTATATTATATATAATAAATATATAGTATATTAAATATATAATTATATATAATATATAATAAATATATAATATATTAAATATACAATATATAATAAATATATAATATATTAAATATATAATATATTAAATATATAATACTAAATAAATAATATATTAAATATATAATACTAAATAAATAATATATTAAATACATAATACTAAATATATAATATATTAAATACATAATACTAAATATATAATATATTATATATATAATATTATATATATAATATTAAATATATAATATTATATATATAATATTATATATATAATATTAAATATATAATATATTATATATATAATATTAAATATATAATATATTAAATATATAATATTAAATATATAATATATTAAATATATAATATTAAATATATAATATATTAAATATATAATATTAAATATATAATATAATAAATATATAATATTAAATATATATAATATAATAAATAAATATATATATATATATCTTGGATAGATTTTTCCAAATTCCTTTTTCTCTTCCCTTTCCATTTTAGGATACCTAGGATCAAGTAATAAAGCCCCATGTTATAGTTTGAGACAGTGTAGATAAGTACCCATTTTGTGTATGACATCAATACTATTTCTTCTGTAGAAGGAAGTCGTGGCTTAGGAGAACTAAAAGAAAAAGCCAATTTCTGTTCCCAGGGATTCAGAGAAAATGGAAGGAGAGAGGAGCAGGAGATAAAATAGGTATCATTTGCTTATCCTTAGGAAATATCCCCCTTTTTTTTCATTTTATGTCTGAATCTGTGGGAAAATGTACTGTAGATAAGAATTAGGTAAGAATTCAAATGTCATATATTACAAGCAGTTCTTCAAAAGAGAAAGTTAGCTCAAAGATTTAAATGCTTTCTGAGTAAAAAAGGAGCCACACTGTGTATAAAGAATGGGGGTGGTGCTGGTAAGTTCATTTTTGGAATACTAAGTTGATTTCTGCAAAGCCTAGTGAGCTCATTTCAAGTTTACATGAGCAAATTCAATTTCCTATAATAGGCATAATTTACAGGCTTTGTGGTTATCACATGTATTGCACTTAAGATTACATTTTAGGAGATTAAGATAATATCTTGATAGTAAACTCCACAGTAACATGAAGGGACACTTGCCCATTTTTTTCAAATGAAAATATGTGCAGAACTATAATTATAATAAAAATAAATGGAGCACGATTAGCTTTCATTCTAAGTTAAGTCTTTCTGTCAGTAGTACTGTTTGCTCTTTCTGCTTCTGGGATTTCCAGCTTGTTTATACTTTAAAACTCTACTGTAACTTCCATAACTTGCACATGGATTAGGGCATACTGTTATTGGCTCCAGTCTCTGCCAGAGCCTAACAGTAGGGGTTGGAAGTGGGCTAACATTCTTACTTAAATTTTTTTAGGTGGATGTGATATGAGAAGGAGAGTAAGGCAGGCAACTCTGCTTTGTCAAAGAGGGATCTCCAGTATCTTCCAGACTCCATTTCCTCGACAAGGCTAATAAAGTAGGTGTAGTTGTCATTTTTAGCACGTAAAAGCACAAGACATCCTGTTACATTTGAATTTCAGATAAATAACACACAATTACTTAGCATAATTATGTCCATGTAACATCTGGACATACTTATGGTACAAAAATTATTTATCATTCATCTGAAATTCAAAAGTTTGAAGGGGGTGAATATCATAGCTATTTATGGGGATACTCACTAAAAGGTATGTGGCCTCTACTGCCCCCTGCATTCTGGAATAGTGCCTTAGGATCCAGTATCTTAAATATCAAGGCTTCTAACCTCTTCCTGTTGAAGATTTTTAAGTTGCATTATATAAGAAGCATGAGTGGCTTTCCTGTCAGGACAAAAGGCTAGATTCCAAGGTTATAAAGATATACAATTTTTATTTGTGAGTTAAAATAAATAAATAAAAATATTGAGAAACTGAGCACTTTTCTCCAAGGGAGACTCCCTTCTCTCTGCTACCTCTGTATCACATTTCTTAGATTTATCACATGCACGAAAATGAGTATAATTATTCTTTTATATAGCTTTATCTTCAATATGACTATGAGATCTTTGAGGGTAAATGCTGTCTCAGTATACTTGGTAAAATGTCTGTCAAGAGAAGACACATGGATAATGAGATTGAATTGCACAGAAAAAAATTGGTGGCAAAAAAGAGATATGTGCAAATGCATACATGGCTAAAATAAGCTTTTTTCCTCCCTCGTAATTTTCATAAAAAAATGCTAGAAAATATGAGCAAGCAAAATCAATAAAGAATAGAAAAATCCCCTGTAATTCCATTGCTCAAACATTTTAGAAAGTTTTTTGTCAGCTTCCTACTCTCAATCCTTGCTATAGAATTATGACATACAGTGATCATACTCTAGATATTCTGTTAGAAATGTCTTGAACAACGCTCCTTCATAGAAAGTCCAAATCTACAGCCATTTTTAACGATGAGGCATGACTGTTTGCAATTAACTTTTTACAGATAAAATTAGCCATTAAGTAAATTTTTATTTTTTATTACTGTAAACAGCAATGTAATGAGAAGCTGTGAGTCTATATAATTGGTTACATGGTGTTTTATTTCTTTATTTTCTTTTATGAGACAATGCCTCCTTATTTCTTTTATTAATGTCTATTTTTATCCTTTTTTCCATATGAATGCTATATTTATTTGTAAAGATTTTCTCCAGACCCTTGTTTGTATTAATTTGGAACTAATCAAATGTTTTATAGTTTTATCTTCTAATTCACTTACTTATTCATTTAACAAACCTTTATCGGGGGAACTTCTATTTGCCTGGCATTGGACAAACCAAGATAACAAATACGGCTTGTATTCTAGTGGGAAGAATCATGGGAATACACAAGTAAACAAAAAAAAAATTACATGGATTTGCATTCGCAGTGAAAATTGTGACAAAGCACACAATGGCTGAGATAGTTAATCCTGTGGATGGTCAGGGAAGGCTTCTGCATGAATGGAGATTTAAGCTGACACATAATATATGCAACATGCAGGAGGAAGAACATTAGTGAATCAGGGAACAGCTTGTACAAATGTCTCAAGGCTACATTTTTTGAGGATCCCAAAAATTGGCTCGTCTAGAGCATAATCAGTAAAGAAATATTCATGCAAGATGAGCTAGGAGACACAAGACAGAGCCTTATGAACCTTGCTAAGTATTTCAGATTTTTTTTTGGTTATATTGTGCCGCTATTAAAGTGATCTATTAAACATACTTGTAATTTGCCTGAAGAATATTTCAAATCACCTCTTGTTTATTAGCAAACAGCCATGTCATTTCTTGCTCTGGAGTACTTCCGATTAATTATTTAAGATTTGAAGCTAACAGGGGTACAACAGGATAATTAGAGGTACATATCGAAAGAAGCAATAATTCAATCAGATTTATGTTCTAAACACACACTTTTTCTTAACCTGTGCAGTAGAAGCATACACCTTCTCTCTGTTATTGTTTTTTAACTTCATCTTTATTTTTAATTATGAATCTTATCTGTTCTGATGAATCTATTTCATTTGTAGCAACGTATGGCTTATTAAAAGTTGGAATTGAGCCAGAGTCTAAATGGGTTGGGTCTTACCACTGGGTGATGGCTCTTGCCTGAAGGAGGTTATCCCAGGATGTGATCTTATAAAGATAATGTCTTCTATGTCACGGGGTTGTATTTTGAGAACTATGTAGAAAATTAGAAACTAAATTTTTGAAAATGCAAGTGGATCAGTTTTTATGCATATAGTGAGGAATATTTTATTCAGGATTGTTTTTCCTGAACTGAATTATAACACACTGCTTTCTTTACTATTCCTACTGTGACTTTAACCAGTGAGTTGTATAATTATGTACCTGAAATAGATTTGAAGAGCTCTGTATCCATCAAAGATCACAGAACCAGGAATTAAAACCCTAAGACAGCACTTCTTAGAATTTATGATAGGTGCTATTTAAGTAATTTCTCCTCCACTAGACACTGTTTTATGCTTCTGATATATTTGCTCTATTCCTCCAATCAACTCTAAATGATAATATTTGATATTTCCATTCTATATATGAAGAAACTGAGATTCAGAGAAGTTGCACCACTCTTTCAAAGTCATAATAAGTGGTCAGAATTCAAACCTCATCTGTTTTCTTATGCCAATACTATAGTAGCCTTTCTATTACAACATCCTGTTCTCCTTTCCTTTGAAGGAAATCTCTATAACATGATGCCTCATAACCAGGGACTGTGCTAACAAATATGGCATCAATTTTGTGCAAGTTTGAAAGAGCATCTCACATACTGCGGGCAGCCTGATACCAAACCCATATGACTTGACAAATAGAATTCAGGCTGAATTTCAGTCCCCATTCTCTCTCTCTACCGGGGCCCTACACCTGTGAGGAACTTACCTGTCACTGTGTGAGCACCTTGAACATGATGGAAAGTATATTATATTAACAAGTAGTCTAAATTAAAATATCTACTTATTATTTTAAAACCAATTACTTGAACTACAGTAAAACAAAAGTCCTTAGTTTTTCCAGTAAATTTGATTATTCTGAATATTAAATCTTATCCCAAGGTATAGATTGGAGTACAGCATTTTGCTATATTCTGACAAGTTTAATACAACCTTGTTAATAATGTGCCTGATATCTGGTTTATAATGAGATTAAACACTGCTTTTTAATAACTTCTCCTTTTAAATTATGAAAGCTAAGTAAAGTCAAATGTCTATCTAAATGCCATTTTATAATATTTCTTTATTAATTTAAAAATGTTGGCTGGGCACAGTGGCACATGCCTGTAATTCCAGACCTTTGGGAGACTGGGGTGGGAGGATCACTTCAGAAGCTCGAGACCAGCCTAGGTAACATAGTAAGACCCTGTCTCTACAAAAAATAGAAAAAATAAGCCAGGTGTGGTGGCATGCACCTGTAGTCTCAGCTACTCGAGAGGCTGAGGTGAGAGGATCACTTGAGCCTGGGGAGTGGAGGCTGCAGTGAGCCATGATGGTGCCATTGCACTTCAGCCTGGGTGACAGAGTAAGACCCTATCTGAAAAAAAAAATGTTAAACGAAATAAATAAAAATGTTAAGTGTGGGAAATTATAGACATTGAATAGTATCACGAATGTTAGGTAACGATAATTACAGGAATCAAAACATTGACTCCGTTTATCTGTTAATAAAAATTTATTTGTCCAGCCTAGTTTTGATAGTGGGGCATGGAGTAGATGTTGGGGGGTATGGGGCAGGGAGATGAGGTTAGAATGTCATTTTAAAATCAGGTCTAGCTCAATGACTTCTGAGGCTGGGTCACAAATGTAGCATAGCTTCCATGCAAAATTTGCTTTCATAAGATACTCACTCTTAGAATCCAGGTGCCATAATGTGTGGAAGTTTCAGTCATATGAAGAAACCATGTGTAGGTGTTTTGGCTGAGAGCTCCCAGTGAGGTTCTAGCTCATAGCAAGCATCAGCCTACAGAAACTTGACTGAGGTGGCTTTTGAGATGACTCCAGCCCAGATGCTGTCAGACTGCAACTTCATGAAAGACCATATGAGACAACCACCTAGATAAGGTTAGTCACCACAGAATGAGGAGAGATAAGAAAAATAAACAATAGTTACTGTTTTTGCTAGAAGTTTGGGATTTCTTAGGCAGCACTAGATAACCAAAGCTTTTCTACTTGAAAGAACAACTGATATTATAAGCATCAGAGAACAACAACAACAACAAAAAATAGTATTTACAAAAACCAAGAGATGTCAGAGACAGATGAGATCAGTGTAGGTCATCGTATCTAAAAAAAAATTCATGGAGAAAGTGGAACATAAGCTGGATATTGAAGGAAGATTAAGTATAACATCATCCAACAAGAAGTATATCAATTAATAAAATCAAGTAGCACAGTATAGAAGGTGAATTAACATTCTTCTAAATAAAAAATATTTTAGTGGTTTTTATTGAGGAGGTAATTTACATAAATTATGACTAAAGAAGTTAGTAAACAACTTTAATATCACCTCATTTCTTAATTTGGAATCACCATTTTACCTTGAATAATATAAGATCACCTTGTGCTAATGTCAATAAAAAAAACTGATTGAACTTGTAACATACAGAATAGTCAAATATTTGATCTCTATAATGAAAAATAAAAATATGCTGTATTACTGTATTTATAAACCAGAAAAGTTATGCAGTCAAGTAAACTTGAATTAACAAACACCATAATATAGGTATCATTTTTCTTATCTTTTAAAAGACTTTGATGAAAAGGAGTTTTGGATTCATAACTAAAGAAGGTATGGTAATCTCTACACTTTTATTCATCTTGCATTAAATGGAAAGTTTGCCAAATAATCTGATAATTAAGAAGAATATTGCACATTAATTTGACACTGCCTTTACTATCATAAATTTCGCTTTACATTCCCAAGACCTCCTGTCCAATAGAAGAGATGACTATATGATATAATGTTGTTTTCTGCACTCAAAGTGTAAGTCTTTGAATAGACAAAATGTCTAATAGGGTGTAATTTCCTCTCAGACTTGTTGAATATCGATCATTGGAGTGGAATCTCTCATTTTATCTTCTAGTAGAAGATTTGAACTAGCTCATAAACCAGCTCATTCTCATTGTGGTAGGTTAGGTTACTCCTCATCACATATTAACTGCCTACTCCTCTGCATGGCCAAAGCGTACTTCTCCAGTTCATAGGCAAAAAATTTGGCTATATGACTGGCTGTGGCCAGCTGGGTTGTGGGCAACAGTGTCAGAAGGCTAGTTCTGAGCTGGGATTTTGGAAGGATTTGCAATGGAAGAACATGCCCCAGGCGTTCATTACTCCTTCCAGTTGTTTTCTAGAATGACTGCATGCAAAGCAGATCTGAACCCAAATGTAATATCATCCAGCATATCCAAGCTCAGACAAAATCTGTTGAATTGCAGCCAAATAGCAGACACGTGAGTGTAAAATAAATGTCTGGTATTTTAAGCTACTGAGATATTAGGGTTCTTATTATACATTATTTTTAAAGCCTGACTAATATATATGTTTTGAAATATTAAAAACAATTTTATTCCTTTAAGTTTTCAACTCTTCTTGAAACTATAGGAATGAAATTTGCCCCAGAAAAGAGCTATCAGTTTATTCTAATCATTTGTTATATTCCAAATATGTAAGGACTTATTAATAGTTTTCTAAAGTAAATATTTTGCCAGATCATTATTTTACTGATGAATTTTATAATCCCATTTATGATATATAAGTGAAATTTATTTATATCTATCCTACTCAATCTGGATAAGTTTGGAGTATACTAATGTCTTCTTAAAGAACAAAACACAGTGAGCATGCTGACAGACAGTGCCCATGAAACTCCCTTTTAGAATACAAATGTTTTTGGGTCAGAGTACATTTTGTTTAAAAAAATCTGTTCTCTAGGGAATAACTTGAGATATTACAGGGAAATAACTTTTCTTGTAATGCTATACTTTATAACCAAAAACGCACACATAAAAACCAAAAAGCAGTCAACCACTTGTCACTAGAGCAAAGAAGTTGTAAATTAGATAGACTATCTCCGACATGTGGCTTTAGGCAAATTTTCTTATTACTCAATCCATATTTTGCTCCTCACTTATTTTAGTTCATAGCAATTTCTATAGCTTATTCAACCACACTCTAGATTGCTTTCCAGGTTTTTATTGTTTCACACATATTTCTTTGTGTAGAGAAATCTTGTTCAGAAGCTCAGGTATTGCTTTGTTTCTATTATAAAGACTAAGTTCTTCCTGAAGGATGTATGATAATGCTGCCATTTAGACTGTAAGTAATGAGTCCAGGCTCCACTCCAGGTCCTACTCTGCTTTATAAGTTTGGTTCTAATATATATTCTAATTAAAGCTTCATTTTGAATCAAGCTAATCCACGGACTACGTGCTGTCTGCAATCCTTCAATGAACATGTGCTGCTTATGTTTATTTTTTTCAGGTTGTAAGACACTATTCAATTATTCCAGAAATGCATACATCTAGTGTGCAAAATGAAAATCCAAGTGCTGAACACTAGTTAAATTTGAACAGAATTGCTAAGTTAAATAAACAGAAAATAATTTGTCAGGGATCACGTACATATTCACTTGCTCCAAAAGGGTAGATGGCTCATATAACATTTTGGAAACCCATCTTCAATCTATTTAATGAGTTAAGCATTCTTGAGTAATAATAATTGTTATTTATTTAATATTTTAAATCTACTATGGTACTTGATTCTTTAAATAGCCCTAGGGAGAAGCTAACGCATCTAAATCATAATAATTTAATGAATTATAAAAAGGGTATTTCATATCAGGAGAGAATTGCCCATCTGATAACCTAGATCTGATTGTGCTTGGAAGAAAAAAAGAAAACTCATGTATCTACCTTATAATATTATCTCATATGCATATTTTCAATTGCATTAAAGATTTATTTAAAAATAAAACTACAAGTGTACTAAAATAAATATAGATGAATATGTAAATAATATTTGGCTGAAATGGCTATTTTAAGCATTAAAACAAAGATTGAAATTACAAGAAAAAAGATGTTTGATGCAACTACATTAAAAGCATTTTAAAATAAGTATATCAAATGCAACCAAAACATTAATAAGCAAATACCCAAGTAGATATACATTTGTAAAATGCATCACAAAATCAGTTAGGTTTTCGTAAAGAAACTAACCAAGGTGGTGACACCTATAGGAGGGGTAAATGAGGAAATTTTAATAAAATAATTTGTTATAAATGTGTGGGCAGAGTTAAAAAGAACAATGAATTGAGAAACAGTTGGTTTCTAGGTCTACCTGCACTAGACCTGTAGATGCAAGGGGCGCTAGTAGTTATCAGACACTGGCGAGACCAGTAGCTGTAGGAAAAAAGCTGTCTAACAGGAGCTATGGCCAATGATAATGATAACTGGCAGCCTAGCAGGGATAAAGCCAAAAGTATAAATTTCCAGAATTATCTCTCCTCTGATTGCTGTAGTTCCCTCTTTCCTCTGCTTTCCCTCTGGACAGAACCAACCAGAAATTAGAGGAGACGGTAACCTAGTTTGTGTAGTCCATGAAGATTGACATCCAAAGTCACAAAGCAGTCTGGCATGTGGATTTGTAGGGACAAATGGAGACTATTCCAGCATGGTCCACATATTAAAACTTTCTACATCCACTTTAATCCTCCAGCCAGATGAAAAGTTTTGTGTAAACTCAGGAGACATACAAGTTCCATCAGTTATCGTATAATGACAACATGATGTCAATTTCTCATCATACAATCACGTAAATCCTAAGTCATCAGCCCTTATCAGTGCTGTTACTAACATGTAATGGAGGAAGAAAAAATAATTAACATAAAGCATAGCTAATACAGGCCCACTTCTATGGATAGTCATTAGGCCTGAGTTGATAATTTCATTTTCTTCTTCCACAACCCACTCCAGTTTCCCGTCACTCCCTTTTTGGATCTTGGCTGAATGGGGATCATTATTTGATGGGGTGTGATCCAAATGTTTATTTCCACATAATCTTGGTACTTGGTAGTCCTTTGGATAAAGGACCATTAAAAACTATTCCAGTGAATTCCTTCGGTTTCAGATAAACACTTTATTGCTTCAATTGGGTTGGGGTAATCTAATAACCCTGTTCAATAGAAGCCTTATCATTTTCCTCAGCACCACCAGGAAACTGTAATGGATGAGCAACAGCCTCAGGTTCCAACTTAACCAAAATCTGATTGTAATCCCTCAGTGGAATCATTCTTTCTTGGGCATTAGAACCCAAATCTACTGAGTAAATGGCTGCAACGATGGAAAACAGATATTCCTCAAGTGGATTATTAAGTAAAATAATGAGAGCGGTCATTCCCACTTCACCCCTTTTTTCGTGAATACATGCATTCTAATGCTGGGGGAGATAACACTAAGTACCAGGTGCTACCTTAAAGAATATACTAGGCCGGGCGCGGTGGCTCACGCCTGTGATCCCAGCACTTTGGGAGGCCGAGGCGGGCGGATCACGAGGTCAGGAGATCGAGACCATCCTGGCTAATACGGTGAAACCCCGTCTCTACTAAAAATACAAAAAATTAGCCGGGCGTGGTAGCGGGCGCCTGTAGTCCCAGCTACTCGGGAGGCTGAGGCAGGAGAATGGCGTGAACCCGGGAGGCGGAGCTTGCAGTGAGCCGAGATCGCGCCACTGCACTCCAGCCTGGGCGACAGAGCGAGACTCCGTCTCAAAAAAAAAAAAAAAAAAAAAAAAAAAAAAAAAAAAAAAAAGAATATACTGTAAGGCAGCAGCTTATAAATTGCATATGCTTGAATTACAGTTTATAAGCTATATAAGCTATAATGTAAAGGACAGCACCCCAGTCTCACAATGTGTTCTCTCCCCACTGGTACCTTAACAGAGTCTTCAATAGGCCATTCTACTAATCTATAAGCTGTGTGAATCTGGGTGATGGAATATACACTACAACTTGGGAATTCTGTGAAAGTCTGTTGCCATATTTTCTTCATTACAATGTGATTTTTAAAAATCAGAAACAATGCCATGTGTCATATTATGGTGATGAGTAAGTCATTCTGAAAGCCCACAGTATGGTAGTCGGGGAAGGGAAATCCATATCTGAAATATGCATCTCTTCCTTAGTGGGGAAACGTACTATCTCCCCCAAAGTGAAAAGTAATCAGCTTGCCATTTGGTGGTCGTCTGGTCTCATCAGGGAACGATGGCCCATTAGGTGCACAGCATTGACCTCTGCTATTGGCAGAATGGGCCGTCAGCAGTGGTAACTGTAGATCAGCCTTGGGAGAGGAAGTTCATGGTGTTGAGTCTGCTGTACACACTTTGAAACAGGAGAGTTGTTGGGAAAAGTGACTGCCTGACATTCAGAGAATGAGTCATCAATTCCATTCCATTATTGAGACTCTCCTACAGTGGATTGGGATCACTACTGGTTGGGATAATACAGGCATTTATTTTCACATAACCTGAGTAGGCATATATTGGACACAGATATCTTCACACTCTGTGTTCATTCTGATAGTTTATCCATTTTCCTCTTTCTTTAAACTCCTAGTTCTAAATCTACGAATGTTGATTTTTCTGTTCTTAGCTACCCATTGTTAGGCACTGTCCATGAAACAGTGTGTATCTGTGTTTCAGGATTTCTTCCCTTCTATATCACATGCACTAACAGATGTGTCAAATGATAGTCTGACCACTGAGAGGATCCAGTTCCAGGATAACATCTGCGAGTGGCTGTAATTGTGTAAGTCCACAGACACCGTTGCACCAACAGACCCATCTAGTCACCAGGCCCATGTATATTCCTCATCTGTTAACTGACCATAGGGAACTCCCCCCGAGGCTATACATGTTGGTGGAGGAAGAAGCCGTAAAGGAGTAGGAATATGTGTCATGGGAGTCTGAGCCACCTTCTCATGCAGCTTTCTAGTGCTTTCCAGACTTGCTCAGTGTCATTTGTCATTTTTATTACACAATATAATAATGCTGAAGTGCATGTCTAATTTTAGAATTTGATGAATCATGCAATATTCAAGTCACTGTAGACAACGTGGGACACATAATCAATTGCTCTTTCATGGGCAGCACTATGTCTCTACCAGGGCCTAATAACTTTGCAAGTAGAGGACATTTTTTAAGCATAAGAGGGCATGACCTTACTCCAAAACTTGTGATGTGGTTCTCCTCTTGCGGTTTTCCAAAGACTTTATGTAACATCTCAGTCTGCCCCAGACACTTTGAATACCATGTGGTCATTTAGTCATAAGGCATGAGGAGCAAAGTACCTTACATCTGAGCCTGGGAACTGCTGCAGGGTCTTTTATATTCGAGATTGTATTCAAAATGGGCAGTCTGGTAAATGGGTCAGAGTATCACACACTAATGCAGCAAGTGCTGTCTTTAAAATCCACAAGGTCCAACAAGTACTATGTCTCTTGTTAGTTGTGAGTTGTGCAAAGTGGAACAACTCTTCTTTTGCTTAGAATGGGCATCTTGATGGGCCACAAGCTACCAAACTTCTAAAAACTTCACTGATACAGTGGTGCCTCAGCATAATGTCATCAGCCTAATGAACTTGTATGGTTCTGTGGTAAATCATGATCATCAGAGATCCCTTGATCCTGTATTATTAATATGTCTAAGAGCAGGTGGTAAAACAGTGAAGATGCTGTCACTGCCGCATCAAAATGGTTTAAAGTTATCATTGTTGATAAGAATTAAAATGAAAGCATTTTTTTTTTTCAGGATAGGATCATTAAGTTTTTTCTGTAAAGGGTTAGATATAAATAGCTTAGACTTTAGGCTACGTAGTCTTCTTGTTTGCTTTTAATAGGACAAGAAAAATGTAAAAAGCACTCTTAGTTCTTGGACCATCCTAAAACACTCCATAGGCTGTAGGTTGCCAACTCCTGTTCCAGGTGAGTAGTTGCAATTGGCATCACCATGCAAGTTTGCAATATTCCACAGTCATTTTCCAAGCCACTTCTAGCCAACAGGGAAGTTACACGGCAATGTGCTGATGTAGTATTTCTGCTTTTCTTCTGAATTATTCAAGTTTTCCAAGATGCCACTAGTCTCAGAAAATTCTGATAAGTAAATCCTTACTATTTCAATTTTTTTCATTAAGCATTTCAATTTATTTTTTACCTATCTCACCTTTTCCCAAATACTTAAAGAAGCTTGAACTTTTTATTCTATAAAGATAGTCATTATTCTGGGTATATTTTATCATATTTAGCTTTGGCATAGAGGTTAAGTGTCTGTTTGTTAATAATACTACTTTAAGAATAATGTTACTAAAATGTTAATATTAATTAAAAAGAATTAAATTATTAGATATTTTTCTATGTACTTACTGGGGGCTGAATTATTGATTTTATGATTATTAGTATATTCTGTGAAGGAGTTAAAGCAGGTATTTTGCATTATAAAATTAAGAAAAGATTCCAGGTTCAGTGGCTCATGCCTGTAATCCCAGCACTTTGGGAGGCTGAGGCAGGTGGATCACCCGAGGTCAGGAGTTCAAGACCAGCCTGGCCAACATGGTGAGACCCTGTCTCTTCTAAAATTACAAAAATTAGCTGGGCATGGTGGTGGGCGCCTGTAATCCCAGCTAGTCGGGAGGCTGAGGCAGTAGAATTGCTTGAACCTGGCTGAGATCGGGCCATCGCACTCCAGCCTGGGCAACATAAACAAAACTTCGTCTCAAAAACAAAAATTAACAAAAGATACTTTGCAGTTTAACTTTTTCACTGATTGTGTGAATAAATAGACATAGTTTGGTATATGTAATAATTTTTCCACTCTCTTAAAATAAAACACTTTTTCAAACTCCTGATAGCGTAAAATGCAGATTAGATATTATTTTCTCTAAACACACACACAAAAAGTTTTTTATTAATGCTCTGGGCCTGAACAAATGCTTTATAAAAACTCAACTACTTTACCAAAAATTTTCTATTCCAGCAAAATATTGACCATGGACATGATAGATAAGTAAATAATGTATACCCTGTATTATTGGCAGTTATCACAGTTCTGTTCAACTAATACAAAGACTAAATGAACTCTTCTGAAGTAACACAAGTTGCAAAATATAAACTGTGCGTAGCAAGATCAGTTGTTCTGGAAACATATACACTATAGGCCTTACTTGTCTAAGTCTGGTCTATAATCAGTGAATTTGGGATATCATCTTTTTATTCAAATAGATAAATTTTCTCAGGTGCCATTTTGATGTCAATTGTGATTAATGAAATCTTGCTTGTAATCTTCATTTGTCATTTTATTCCACTCTTGTACATTCCTTTGATTCTTTGAGCTTCAGTACTTCATAAGGTAAAAACATGCTATTAGGGAAATTGCTCTGTTTATAAAATACTATGGAAGTCTTTGGCCTTGGTTGAATTGGAGTAAGATGTTGTTTTCTTCCTCTTTTTAAGAATTATTATTGAATAGTTTTTATTTATCTGTGAGAATCCTTGACCCTTACCAAGCACCTTGAAAATTTTTATTTTCCCCAAGATAGGAAAAGTTCTGGAAAGGAGCTCAGCCCTGTGATTTGGTGTACTCTTGGTAATAAGGTTGACAATCCCTGATATTTGTCATCAAATAGAGCACAGACTGTGTTGGAGACCTTATTGATGCAGAATCGCAGCACCAATGAAGCCTACAGACAAATTGTTTTCTGCTAAGTTCCTCAATACAGGATTAACATTATTACTGGTGCTGTATAAATTATAGCCTGAATGTAATTAAGAAAGCAATTTAAGTTTTTTCTTCAGAGACCAGTGGAACCATAGCTTCATTGCAAATAAGAATTCTATAATATGAAACAGTTTGAAAATAAAATGAAGTGTAAATAATTATGCCAGAATAATAGGTCTGTAATAGAACTATAAAAATGGCATTGTCCTGTATTTTTAAACACTTTTTCACTTAACAGTATATTGAAAACATCATTTAATTCATTGAAAATTCTTTCATTATTAATGGCTGCATAGTATTCTTTTGTTGGATATTTAATAGGATTGTCTTGTTTTTTTGGATTACAAAGACTGACCCTGAAATGAACTTTTTTATACTTTCTTATAGCCTGAAGTTTGCCTCTATCAGTTAATACTATGCTTTGACAAATTCCATGAAGGTAATTATCTGCATAACTTGTTTGCATATTCATGTTTAATTTTGTTTTTAGTACACGTCTTGAAACTGCTCTCCAGTGAAGCTAGAATTTAAAATCCCTACCTCAAGATGTCAGAGCATCTTTGCTTCTTTCTCTAACCAACATAATTTCTTTAAGAGTTTTCCTTTTTTTAATATTCACTGAATATACACGTTAGTCAAACACCAAAAGCTCATAGGTAGAAACATTTGGCTGAAGTTTAGTGTGAAACCAAATACCACTCACAGAATAAATTTGACATAAAATGAGAATATTTTATCTAAATTTATAACAAAAATAATGATAGGTTTTACAACCATATTAGTAGAAATTTAGGAGTCATTTTTTAAAAAGGTTACATTGCTATGAAGAACAATAATATCTCAGCATCTGTGCTATTAAATTGAATATACTGCATTTCTGCCATAAGATAATGATAAGTATATTTCACTACAGTTAGCGGAATGCAGAGTGCTTTTGCTGACATCTCATTTTACCCTAGTAATTACTTATTTTTTCTCATATTATTTATATTACTTATTTTGTCTGAATTACATATTAGTTATTATCAAATGCATAGATTGAAGTGTTTTTCATAAGATATGGAGAGTTTATTCTGAAAGACTGACAACCTAAATGAAATTCAATATCTCAATATAAATAAAATTATTGAATTTACTGGTTTAATATTATAAATACTGGTATACCAGAGATTCCATAGAAAAATAATATGACACAATGTAATCTTTATTATTCTGCCTGATTTTTTTTACACTTAAAATTTTTTCTACATACTTTAAAAATTTATGAGTTCAAAAACGTGTGTAACATTTTTAAAATGTTACTTGGTTAACACATTCTCTGAACAGTTTTATAGTCTGCTAATTTATTTCTGTGTAACTATTTAAAAGTTAATAACAAATGTTGCAGTGTATAAAATTAGCCACTTTTCAGAATCATAATTGTTGCTGAATTTTACCCAAGCAATGATAAGTATAAATTTATACTTCAAATAACATATAGAATCACAGAATTTCAGCCACTTAAATGTAAGAACTCCATTATAAGTGATATCCAGAAGCTTACTTACATTTGAAAGTTAATATTAATAATAATTCTGAATGGCATTCCTTGATTACATGACTGATATTCTTACGGTGACTAGATGTGATGTCAAGTTATGATATTATACCTTTTTATGCACAAGTCTAGGCAGGACAGTTACAATGTTAAAGGAGGCATTTAGTGATTAAGCATTAAAAGATACAATCAAAGTGAAATGGCAGATTGGGACAGAATATTATGGCTGCAGTCAAACTTCAATAAACACCCAAGTCAAAATGAGATACAGTTTTTAATATATATTTGTCATTTATCTTTTGCATTTTATGTATTTCTTGCTCATTTCTTCTAGGTCTCTCTCTGGTAGGGCTGCTCATTTTAAAATCACAGATATAATTACTATGAAAAGTTGTAATCACTGTGGAAAATATTTTCGTCTTTTAGCAGATTATCTAGGAAATAAGCAGCAAGATTTACTCAAACACTTGTTATATAAATTTTATTTTGCTGAATTAAAATTTATTTTATTGAAAGAACTTGCAAATATGCCTTCCAATAAGCATAGATTTGCTCCAGTTTTTAAATGGCAATTAAATGGTTTAAATTTTTTGCAACATGGTAGTCTCTTTAAAGTTTATCTTGCCTGCTTAGGTGAAATAATCAAGCCCTAGTTGGCAGATGAAATCAGAAAATAATTTTGAGACAGTTAAGTGTGTAATTCTTCCCAAAAGTTCACGGAAATGAGGGAAAAACAAGATAGTCTTAAGGCATTTTAACTTAAACTAATTATAATCAATACTCAGATTATCTTTCTACCATTCTCACATGCACTTTGCAAGTCATCAATTCTCAAATTTTATTTATACCAGAACAAAAATCTGCTTGAAGCTATCTTCCTACCGCAGATGCCTTCATAAACCAATTTTCACATAGTCTTTAGTCGGACACATGATTTTCATTAAAAAAGTATGTCTGTAATATAATCACCATTTTATAGAAGTCCACAAAAACTAGAGATAACAAAAAAAGAAAGAATAAGGAAAATTCACACAAACAAACACATAAACTTTCATACCGAGTCTCTACTTCTAGTTTTCAATTTTCAAAATGGGTTTTTCTGTTCTGATGCACTAGCCAACTTTGGTCAAATTATTTTTCCATGAATTCACATTTTTTTGCTATCTATTTTTATATAATTCAATATTGATCTTGAAAATTTTTATATGAACATGTCAATATGGCTAAACTATATAATCATTACATTGAATAAAAGATTTAATTCAGCTGTAAATGACTGCCTATCTTCAAAGTGTAGGTCTCTTTATTTTTCATTGCTTTTGCATGGAAAGAGGAAAAGAAACACCCTGATATCTACATCATCTATATCTATATGTATTTATATATGTATATGTATATGTATGTATGTGTGTATATGTGTGTGTGTGTGTATATATATATATACACAATATGACGATTTTTGGTATTCTACCCACTTATTAATAATCTTTAGCTACTTTCAAAAAACAAGAATTAGCTATCTCCTTAGATTTCTCTCATTGACTATTTAACTGTTTAGTGCATCAGAGTTCCTGTACCTAAGAAAAACATCATTAGGAAAGAAAATAAACTGTACAGAAAAAAAATATATCAAAGACTCTAAAATTTTTATACCTCTGTGTTTAGAGCATTTACATTCTATCATGCTTTATTCATTGCAAGGGGAAATTTTTTTAAAATATCTGAATTCATTTGCATTTTTTAATCTCCTTTGGTCAAGTGGCAGTCTGGTCATTGCGGCATTGCCTGCATGCATATTAAAACTTGTAGATGTGTTCCAGTGGATTGGAAGAAAATCTTGAGGACAATTGAAGTAAAACTGTATGATAAATGTTCTTGATGACAGAAAAAAAATATTTTTGATAAAGCATAACATCTATGACTTGAATTGTAGCAGTTCAGAAAAATGGAACATTTAAAGTGAAGATATTTTAGTAACAACTATTTTTAATTTGTGATGTATGCAAATGAGTGATAAGATAAAAATCTAAGTGTTAAATCTAAAAGAACTCTTTAAATGTGTATAAAACAAAAAATACTAAGTGTGATGAAAGCTTTGTAGCAAGGTTAAATTGACAGTATATTTTCTTCATGTACAAATAGTGTTTCATCTATTTTTCTCAAATTATAACTAATTACAATTAATGGAATATTAGATTTAATGGAATATAGTATCAACAGCCCTTCTTTAGATGAGGGAACTGAAGATTAGCATGGTTGAGTAAATTGATCAAAACTACATGGTAATTTATGTGTTAGTTTTGTACTACTGCAAAAAAAATTATCATGAATTTAGTGGCTTAAAACAACACAAATGTATTGTCTTACATGTCGGTAAGCCAGAAGTCCAAAATGAGTTGCACTGGGCTAAAATCAAGGTATCCACACGGCTGTTTGCCTTTCTGGTAGCTTTAAGGGAGAATTCATTCCATGTTTTTCCCATCTTCTAGAGGCACTTATATTCTTGGTTTCCTTCCATTGTCAAAAGCTGCAAGGGCTGGTAGATTCTATTTCACATCATATCATTCTGACACTAACTCTTCAGACTCCCTCTGTTACTTATATGAATTCTTGTGATAATATTGACCTCACTAAAAAAATCCTGGCGAATCTCCCTACCATAAAGTCAGCTAATTAGCAACCTTAATTCCATCTGCTACCTTACTTTCCCTTTGACATGTAACATAATCTATTTATAGATTCCAGGGATTCAGTCATACACATCTTTGAGGAGCCATTATTCTGTCTACTACAACTGGTGGGAGAGAATTTAGTCTCAGTTTGTTTCACTGCAAAGCTGACAGTCTTCACTATGCTGTATTACTTATTAAAGAGCTCAGCATGTAAAGTTTTTCTTCCAGGCTGTGAATATTTTATCACACTGTTAGAAGTAGAGCATGACCAGTTATTTACAGTAAGTTTGAACAGGAGGAAAGAGTAAGGAACTTGACACTATACCAGTTAACTGGTGATGGACATTAAGGGCAACAGAACTGTAGGTCTTGAACACAGAACATTTATTTCTTCTGGATTAATGTCCAAAATGTCAGGTAAAAGCAGAATGAGATTCAGACATCTAATTGGGGAGGGGTGGTTATAGAGGAATTTTTCAGCAGATAAATTGAGCACAGGCCTTCAGAACAAGCACTTGGGACATGTATACTTAAAAGATAAATAGTTAAATAAGACTCCTAACATTCATGTAACTGTGCTTCGCCAACTTGCTGAAGTATGGGACATGTCTAGTCCAAGGGACTTAATAGAAGACTAGGTTTAGTTATAAAAACAGTCAGGAGTACTAGGGAAATAGTCTAATCAGAAATCAGAAACAGTATCAAAGGCAGAAAAGCAACTAGGAGCTAGCACAATTAGGAATGGGTGTTTATATAAGATTGGGACTTAAGTTTGATGAAGGAATTAAGTCATCAGTTAAGACACACATTACGGGCAGATGATCCATAAGAATAATGATGCCCAGCCAAGCAAGGGAGCAGAGACTGCCCAAATACTTCATGGCTCACATCAGGAATGGCCTTGGGAGTTGAACTGGGTCTGAGTGCAGGGGATCCTAAAAATAAAATTACTTCTAATGCAAGATATCACTGTCTCTTACATAGTAGTCCTTCAATAACTACTTGTTAAAAATAAGTAGGAAAATATCTAGTTGTTACATTATTTAAAAATAATTTCTAGAATTATAATACAGAATTTCTGAAACCATGGAACGTATTATTGGGGTTTTAAGAAATGTTATTTTTGAGGTTTTAAAATATACATCAAAGATCACTGGACAAAAACATCAAAGATGTTGAAATATACAAAACAGGACAAATTAAATGATCAATAAAGAGTACAGGCATTGAGACGAGTTAAGAATAATCCTGTAGTGACATCAGCAAGATGGTGGGATACAAATTCTCAGCCCTTGTTCACCTATAGAAATGCTGATTTAACAATGATGTATGGACCAAAATACTTCTATGAGAATTACAGACTCTAGTTAAGAATTTGCTGTACCCTAGGCAAGCACAAAGATAAGAAGAGCCACAGTGAAATGGATAAAAAGAACAATTTCACTTTAACCACAGGTCACAAAGTTAAGGAAAGATACTGTGGTTTGATGTTAATTAGAATGTAATCCATGCAGAAGATTTTAAATTCTGAGCCAGGGCACTTGTACAATTCTACCAAACTGACAATGAGACATGTCACTCTCTAGCTATTTAAACCAAGATTACGTACTTTTCTTTTGCATTGATTATGGATGCTAAAATGTAAAATTCAAATCAAGTTTGGAAAGTAAAGTACACAAAATATTTTAAAGATTATGAGGTTGAAATTAAATTATTTGAGACATATTCTGCTTAAAATTACTATAAAATATGCATCATTTTTCTTAAAGGATTTCTCTGTCAAACTTATCAACTTCATTCCCAAAGTTACTCCAGTGTTAAACCTGAGAAATTTTAACTTTAAGAATTTAGTAGTTTGTATAACTTTAAGAATTATGTAACTTGAATCATTGTAATTTCCATTTTACATACCAATTATAATCATTGAAGCTGGTTATCAGAGGAAGAAAGAAGAGGAGAAGAAGAAAAGCAGAATGGTTATAATTTTCTGGTCTGGTTTAAGCAACTTTGACCTTTGACAGATAGGGAATAGGGTGTGATCCCATACCCTATGTTATTCAAGTCAGTCACTGACATCTGTCTCCCAGATAGGGAATAGGGTGTGATCCCATACCCTATGTTATTCAAGTCAGTCACTGACATCTGTCTCCTCTTCCCTATCTGTTCCCTGCCTAGTGATTTTGTGGGTCAGGCATTGTACAGGCAATTGGGCCTCTTCTATTGATGTTACCATGCTTTGTGACTCAGGATTGAATCATGAATGAGAGTATATTCTTAGAAATCTTTTAATCCAATATTTTAGGGTATGTGCTTCTGAAGGTAAATTGAACGATTTGCTATATTTCAAATAAGGTCTATAGTTTAGTTAATAATATTGTACCAATGCTAATTTCCTGTTCTTGATAATTTTACCATACTTATGTAAGATATTAACATTAGAAGAAGCAGCATGAGATATAGAAATAAATTCTTTGTACTATTGTTGAACATTTGTGAGACTCTAAAATCAGTTTAAAATGCTTAAATAGATTTTAAAGCAGATTTGTAGTAAAAACCTTGGAAACTTGTGATGTTTCAAATTCTTCATTTTGCACATTAGAGGCTCAAAAATGTTAAAGGACTTAACAGTATTTTCGGTTTGAGTTAAAGCCAAGATGAGATCTAAGAGTGTTGTTAAGTTGCCTGGGCACTTCTTTCCTCTGTTTCAACATATGAAAATGAAACTTCATTCCTCAGAAATTGGTTACTGTTGATCATCCCATTTGAATCAGAACTTCCCCAGTTTCAATTTCCTCAGTATTTATGCAACGTGAAGATGAATGTCAAAATTATTTTCCTTATATCCTGTCATATTAACAATATATGTAACACTGAATAATATGATAGTGAAAAAATATTCTTCTCAAGTAGTCTTGTTTGTTTGTCTATATAAGAGAATTAATAAAGCTACCAGACTATAGCAATTTAAGAAAAAACATTAAACTTTGTAAACAAGATATATTTAAATATAATTATTCACATTACAAAAGTATTCAACTTTTAAAATGTGAATATTAAGCTCCTTTAATTAATGAGGAAACATTTGATTCACAAAAAGTAAATTATACATGTTAGGAATGCATCTATTTCAAAAAATGAGGACAAGTTTTATATTTGCATTTTTCTTTGATTGTAAGATACAAGCTATAACTTAAAGAACTTCCACTTGTTTTTAAAACAGAGACAAAAACTATTTAACCTATAAAGCTCTCTGCATTCCTTATTTATTAATTATGTAGTTTAGTGTTCAGTGAATAAATATTACCTTCAGGTCTGAGAATGATCTTCTGAAATTATTGAAAGCTTTTTTCTTTATATGTTCTTCCATAGTATAAATTAACAAAAAATAAAAATATGAAAAAATGTTAAAGGTGAAAGGAAGAAAAAGTAATCAGCTCCAACTTGGATCCTTGTTATTTATAAATACAAGTTTTTTGGTATCAGTTTACAAACATCAAGTCCTAAAAGGTGTTAATGGTTAGCAACAGATTTAGTCTTGAGAATGACTAAATGGTATGAATTGAGTTAGCTGGGAAGAGCTGTCTGTTCCCAAAGACTTCTACTGCAGCATTGCTCATTACCTGAAACTCTGGTATTGGTGTTTTCAAGACAGAGCATATGTTTGAGGAGGGAAGTAAAGGCTATATCTGAGAATCTTGGGTTCTGGGTTGTACAGTGTTTTGCCAGTAATTCTTTTTCTTGCCTTAAACAAAGAACTTTATAGTTCTTGGTCTCCATTTCCCTTCTGAAAAGGTTTCTTCACATGTTAAGATTTTACCCACATACTAGAGACCATACTGTTAAAGTTCCCAGAAACATTATGCCTGGCCCTTGCATGCCTCACTCCATCATGGTGTTACATTTCCAGCCCTCCCACCCCACCATGGATATAATTTATATTCCTAATTTGAAAGTAGTTTAAAATATTTTTATAGATTCCTAAGTGTAGCCGACAAAGAATGAGGTTTTGTGACAAGACCCCCTTGCCAAAAGGAACACACATTTGTCAGAGATTGTAAATACAGCCTTCATTTTATGTGTTTTACAGTTTATGAAACATTTTACACAGAGCACTTAATCTCCTAAACAGTCCTAAGAAATAAATATTATCATGATTATGTTATGAAAGTTGAATTTGAAGATCAGAGAATGGTTGCCTAGAGTCACCTATTAGCAAGAGCTGGAACCCATCCAGCTACTCTGCTTTGTACTCTACCATGCTGTCTTAAGGGCACACCAACTAGCAGAAGTTATTTGAAAGACAGAAAGCTCTGAGACCACCTATGAGCTGACAGTTTTTTTTTTCAATATCTGATTAATATAAGTGAGTGAAAGGAAAAGAGGGACATAAATATGACTTGACATTTTATTTTGTTTTAGCCTGTGCAAATTGTGCTTCTTTGCATATTTCTCTCTATTATCTCTTACTATATTCACATGGACTTAACAGTGGTAGTGTGGGAAATTCTTTTATAGGAATATGTCTCTCGACTTTGAGGTTTAGAAAGGAATGGCTCTGAATACACACACTTGAAAGTGAACAGTGCATTATGTGAGACTTGAGACCCATCAAACCTAAAGTGCCTTACTTCTGAGCCTATTCATGAAAGGACTTGAGGTGGCTGAATGAGTCATGTATATGATCTAAATTAAATCTGAAGAGAAACTGTTCAAAATTCTCATTGGCTGCATTTCTAAAGTTAGAAAAAAGTAAAAAAAAAATGTGATCAGACAAGAGAGCTTCATCCTGAAATCCTAGAAAATGGCAATTCTTAGGAAATTTAGGGAAGGGAACAAGGGAGGAATATGGGCATGATGAAAAAACAAAATCAAATTAAAAATTCTTAAAGCTTAGGAAATATTAATTTTAGGTGAGAAAATAGGTCTTTACTCAGGAAGTCAGCATTAAGAAGCTGATTAGTCAAATTTAAGAAACCTTTGGTATTGAAATCGCTATCACACGGATATGGGTTAGATCTTTGCCCTGGGCTCTGAGCAGCTGCTTAATCACTCTAAGCATCAGTTTCTTTATCTACACAGCGGGAACATGGATTTCTTTGATAAGATATTTTGAAGTTTAGCAGAAAAATAAGTAACAAACTATTTTTACCCCTATTTACTATTTTACTGCATTGCAGGGGTAATTTTTTTCTAAGGAACAAAACACTGTTGCCAAAGTTCTTACTAATAAAACTAGATTATCTGCATGGGCTTGCAATAAGTATGACATCCCTGACAATAAAAATAGTTTGTTCAGGAAAAGCAGTAAAATATATAAAATACACCTCTATAACCTCTCATCTTAAACCTATGTTCCCTTTTTACTTCCCTTTTTGACTTCCAGGTGCTTAGCACAGAGTTTGGGTAATGACTGCCTAGACCTTATCCTAACATGAGCCACATATTGATCTACTGACCTCAGGCAAGTTTCCTAAGCAGGGGACTGCAGGACCCTGACCATTGCTAGGGCCAAAATCCATTCTGATGGGTTAGTATCGGTGCTGTACTGATTGTTCAATATAATTAATGACACCTCCAGAAACAAACAATCTCATTCATTGTTTGTAAATATATAGGATATTTCTACAAGCACATTCAAGACATTGATAGTAGTAGTGGTAGTTATTTCTGGGAATAGAACCTGGATGAATAAGAGAGTAAGGGCGATTTCTTTTCACCATATATGACTTTAGATCTGAAATATGTATTACGAATGTATAAATGCCTCAGCAAAGCAGTGACTTTTTTTCTCAAGTTGAGCAACTTTATTTAAAAATAAGGTAAGTGTAGACCTTAAATATAGACCTTAGGATATATAAAATAATAAATAGAAATAAGTACTTCTGCCTGTAATCCCAGCACTTTGAGAGGCCGAGGCGGGCGGATCATGAGGTCAGGAGATCGAGACCATCCTGGCTAACAAGGTGAAACCCCGTCTCTACTAAAAATACAAAAAATTAGCCGGGCGCGGTGGCGGGCGCCTGTAGTCCCAGCTACTCGGGAGGCTGAGGCAGGAGAATGGCGTGAACCCGGGAAGCGGAGCTTGCAGTGAGCCGAGATTGCGCCACTGCAGTCCGCAGTCCGGCCTGGGCGACAGAGCAAGACTCCGTCTCAAAAAAAAAAAAAAAAAAAAAAAGAAATAAGTACTTCTGATTTGCCTTAGACAAGTTTTATGAAGGAAGCAATGGCCTTCTATCTGCTCTATTTTTTTTTTTTTTGCATTAATGGCTGAGCCCAAAGTCTCCCATTCAATTTAATGTAAATCATTATTTAAAAGCATTTTGCAAAATCATAATTGTTTTCTTTTAAAATAATTCTTTAAATAATTATTTTAAAATAATTTTTACTTTTTAAATAAATCAGGTTCTGAAAGGCAAATACCTTGCTTATTCCATTTTATAAATATTTATACTGGACAACTACACAGATGCTAATTAACTTATTCAAAATTACACAGTAAGTAAAAGAGGTAGGATTCAAACTTTTAAATCTTTTTGACTGCAAAGCTATGCTATTCTGAAACAATGTGTGCTAGCAGATGTTGGGAGGGCAACCCCCGGAATGGTAGTGCAAGACCAGAAGCTGAGGGTAAACTAGGCTGAGAGGCTGTGCATAGAAAGGACCGAAGATGAATGCCAGAGGACTTGAATTTCAGCTAATGGGTGGTATTCCAGTTATTGTTTGTAAACTGGTTAAAGAAAATGTGGTACCTATACACAATGAAATACTGTGCAGCCATAAAAAAAGAACGTGATAATGTTTTTTGCAGCAACATGGATGGAGCTGGAGGCCATTATCCTAAGTGAGATAACATAGGAACAGAAAACAAAATACTGCATGTTCTCACTTATAAGTGGGAGATAAACATTAATTACATATGGACACAAAGAAGGGAATGACAGACACTAGGGCCTACCTGAGGTGGATGGTGGGAGGAGAGTAAGGATTATCAAACTACCTATGGGGAGCTATGTTTAGGACCTGGGTGACAAAACAATCTGTACACCAAACCCCGTGACATGCAATTTACTTATATAACAAACCTAAACCTAAAATAAAGTAATAATATATAAATAACAATAAATAAACAAATAAAAATTTTAAAAACAAAGTCTGATCTTCTTCAGAATGATTTTTGTGTGTACGAAAAATGGACTTTTGCCTAGTCATACTGTTGAACTATATGTTGAAATTCTAACTTCCTATGTGACTATATTTAGAGATAGGAACTTTAAAGAGGTAATTAAGGTTAAATGAGGTCATAAGAGTGGAGTTCTATTTCAGTGTGTTTCCCTATGAGAAGATGAAGAGGCACCAGAAATGCATGTGAGCAGAGAAAGACCATATAAAGACTCAGTGAGAAGGTGGTTATCATCAAGTCAAAGAAAATGACCTAAAGAGGAACTAACCCTGGCATTACCTTGATATTGGCCTTTCAGCTTTCAGAAATGGCAGAAAATAAATTTCTGTTTAAGCTACCCAGTAAGTGGTATTTTGTTATGCTAGCCCTAGTAGACTTCATATACAGCTCAAACAAAATAAAATGCCTTTCTCCACATTAAGAAACATCCAGGGTCTATTTGCCCCAGTAAAATGACAAATAGAATTCAGGGCAGGGCCATAAGTGCAGCATCTTCCACTTCATTCCAGTTCAAATCTTTCACTGGATGTTTGGAGGGGGCATGCTGAGACTAGTGGATTCAAAGATATTCTTATTGATCCATCACAAAGTGAAGTAATGAGAGAACCTCTCTTGATGATGGAATATAAATTGGTTTAATACAGTTGTACCTTTAACAAAAATAGAACTGCATCTGGTTTATGATTATCTTTTTTCTATAATGCGATGTACCCAACATTAAAAGTACTGACACATGAAGTTTTTTTTCTAAAAATAATGTAAATTCTACTGCTGTGAAAATAATGTCTTTAATCAACTATGTGTACATATATATGGAGCCTCAGTGTGACATTTTGTCTGATTTAAAATGATTACAAACACTTAGTAAATGACCTGACAACTGAAGGAAGACAGTCGGGCTTTCTTGTCTCAAAAACTTTACTTACATATTTTAGATCATGTTATTTTGCTTGTATATATATGTTTGTTAACCACTTATTGTAGAAAAAATTAACCATACATAGAAATTGAAAGAAGATTATAGTAAATTCTTCACCATTACTCATCTTCAACAATTATCAATATCTGGCTCATCTAGTGTTATTAAGACTCCTATCAATTTCCCCTTTTCATATCATTTTGAAGCAAATCTAAAATGTTGTGTTGTTATTTCATCTATAAGTATTTCAATGTCTTATTCTGAAGGATTAATGCTTTTCTCTTATAAAGGTTATCATAATAGTTTTATTCCACAAACTTAACAATAAATCTTTAATATCAGAAAACATCCAATCATTGTTCAAACTTCCTAGTTTTCTCACAAATGCCACAATTATTTTTAGTTTCTTGTTTTAAAATCAGAAACTAAGTTCTAGACATTGCAATCAGTTGATACGTCTCATATATATATATATATATATTTAAATTATACTTTAAGTTCTAGGGTACATGTGCACAACGTGCAGGTTTGTCACATATGTATACATGTGCCATGTTGGTGTGCTGCACCCATTAACTCATCATTGACATTAGGTATATCTCCTAATGCTATCCCTCCCCCCTCCCCCCTCCCCCCACCCCACAACAGGCCGTGGTGTGTGATGTTCCCCTTCCTGTGTCCAATGAACAATGAGTTGATACATCTCTTAAGTCCAGTTTAGTATATGGGCTTCCCTCTGCCTTTTTTATTTCTTGAAATTTATTTGTTGAATCAGAAACAAGGTACTTTGTCCAGGATAATTTTCTGCAGTTTAGATTTTGCTGATTACATCCCTCATGTGTCCTTTAATATGTTCTTCTCTCCTCATTATTCTCCTATAGATTAGAATTGAAAGCTTGATGTAATTTAGATTTATTGTGTTATTTTTCTTCCCTTTTTAACAATACTGTTTCACAGATAGTGTTATGTTTACCTAAAATGAAGCACATAATGTCTGTCTTGTTCTTTGTGTTAGCCGTCATTGTTGATCAATGTCTAAGTTCATTTGTTCATTAAAGTATTTAAGATAATATTTTAATTTTGTATTTTTATCAGTTTATCACCTGCAGTTCTCCCATAAAAATAAACATTGTCTGATCTTCTATGTGGGCTCAAGCAATCCTCCCACCACAATCTCCCAAGCATCTGGGACTACAGGTGCACACCACCACACCTGGCTAATTATTTTTATTTTTGTAAACACAGAGAATCTCACTGTTTCCCAGACAGGCCTCAAAGCGCTGTCCTCAAGTGATCCTCCCACCTCAAACTTTTAAACCGCTGGGATAACAGGTGTAAGGCACCATGCGTGGCCACTATTTCTTTTTTAAACATCATGAAAAACTCATATACTTAAATGTATTTTACATAACTCAATTATTTTATTTTTGATACTAAAGTTTTTTTCTACGTTCATCCACTGAGAGACTCATCAGTTACTACTGAGTTCTTTCGTATGACCTTGGCATGATGTTTAATATCTCTTTTGCTATCTCAGATTTTTTTTAAGTTGTTTCTAGGCTGACAGAGGTTGCTTCAAGGCTGCAATTTCCCCAAGGAACCCTGCTTCCTTTTCTAGGAAAACAAAACATTGAAAGCAAAGAACACTGGAAGTGTTTTTTCCTGCCAGATTGTCATTATTTTGAGAACATTTCAGAGGCTATCAAAAGTAAAATTACCTTTTGAATTTTATATTTAGTGATTACATGTTAATTTAATTGTTTTATAATTACTAAGATATGCAGATACAAAAATCAAATCTAGAAAACAATATCTATTTTAAATAATCTTTTTGTCCCTATTAGTTTTGACTGAATTTCTAACTTGAGTAACTAATTATATACAGTCTTTCTCCGTTCCTTTTTATATTCTCTCTCTCCTTCTTCTTATAGAAATAGGTGTTGAAAAACAGATATGGAATATATTTGGAAGGTAAAAGTAGTAGTATTTCATGATAAAGAGATTGTATGTGTATTGTAAGGAAATGAAAGAATAACCCCAAAGTTTTTGGCATAAGCAGCAGGATGAATAGAGATGCCACTTACTGAGATAGGAAAGACTGGAGGAAAAATAAGTTTGAAAGAGAGATAAATAAATAATTATTTGGACCTGTCAAGTTTGAAATGCCTTTTAGACATCCAAGAGCCAATATCAGGTACAGTTGAATATAGCCGTCAAGTAGAATGTGATCTCCAAGAGAACAGCTTCTTTTGTCTATTTTGTTTACTGCTGTATTCTCAGAAGAGGCATGTAGTAGATGTTCAATAAACATTCACTGATTGAATAAAAATATACAGAAGGAAACATTTTTAAAATGTATCTTAGAACTTAGAAAATAGCTGTCTCCTTATTCCAAACCAACATCTCTCCAGTCCATATAATTTTAATCTTCTACTTGGTCTGTATACAGTTTCAGTTTAGAGCATTCATGATACAATTATCTTCTAATTCCTAATAGAAGAAACAAGTATGCAACTGGCAGATAGACCATATAAGTCAAATCAACTACCCAGATTTGAGTCCTTTATTCCCTTCATATGTAACAATTTTTATCCAATATTTTTGACTTTCCAGTTAAATTTCAATGTCACCCAAAAAACACAAAGACTTTGTAATGAGTTCTTAGTATGGTCTTCACTGTAGTTGAATTTCAATCCCCGAGTTTCACAATATGTGAATAGGGCATAGTATCACAAGGTAACTTTTCCACCTACTCAGATGTCTTCAGTCTTGCTCTGTGGGTATAAAATGGTTTTCTTTGTATCATGCCCTACTTTTATGATTTCATAAAACTTTTATACTTGCTCTACCAATATTTTCTGAGAGAACTACAAAGGTTGTACATTTATTGTTGGTTAACTTTGGTCATCTTTGGCCTGACAGGTTCAGAGAGAAATCCTAATTTTCTGTACTATTTTATCAAAGCAAATTGTTGGAAAAAATAAGATTGGTATTTATTCCAAGCCACTCATTACATCATCATTTAAAACTGGATTAGACTTCGCAGTCTAATTGCAGTAAAGGCCAAACCATTATTTTAAATTGCAGTATGGGTGGTCAGAGATGGTGACACTCCAATATGTGTGAACAAGCATTTTCATGTAGGTGAAGAATTTGAATTACATGTTTTTATTCAACACATGATTTCTAGGTTCTTTACTATAAGTTTGAGATCCTAGGTCTCATTTGATATTACTTTGAATTGTTATCAAAGTAATTTGATATTACTTTGAATTGATATTACTTTGAATTGTTAGCAACTATGATATTGACTGATTTGTAACTGGTTTCATCAAGGTTTTGTAGCACACCGTAGAATTATTTCTAGGTACATCTAAATGTCAACTCTAGGCATGAGAGAGTTAAGTGATAAATAATATTGCATGATTATGATTGTATTCATTTCTAAGACATACTATATCAATATATTTTAAGCTGAATTATAAAAAAGTTTTTTCAATTGTTGATTTTATAAATTCTATTCTTAAACATGCAAATTAATTTGGTAGTAATAAAGTCACTACAAAGTTGCCAGGTCAAGAGAGGATTAGAAGAAGATAAATAGTTAAAAAGGGGAAGAATCAAGAGGAGATATTAGTAAATCTGATTAAGTCAATTTTGAAGGTGAAGGCAAGAAATATATCTGTTGTGGTACTTAGTAACTGGTAAATGAAAATTTCATAAATCTTTTCTATATTTGTTCTACCCCACTACTCAGAGTGTATTAAATTAATATTCAAGGTTATACATATATAGATTCAGCCCTTTAAAGGTGTTAGTGATATAACTTTTTTGTATGTTTTCCTTATTCTGTTTAATGTAAAATTATCTGCTAGCTATAAGCCAAATAGTCTATCTTTCTAGAGGTAATTTCTCAAACTTTTTGTAGACTTGAAATCAAACACTTTTCATAAGTTTTGGATTCCCAAGATCACTATATTGCATTCTGAAACAATTCAATAATATTTTGTTAAGTTTTACAACCTTTTATTTAGAGATTTTCTTGTGAGTTCAGACCCTTTTACAATAAAGAAAATTGCCACATGATATAATTAAATAAATGAATTAGCATGTGATGAGAATTCTTATGGGGTAGGAGGAAAAATAAAAATACAAATGTTGAGACGTCAGGAAACTTACCACTTCAAGTGAAGATCAGAAAAAGAGAAATAGTAAAAAACAAGAAGAATCAAGAAGAGATATTAATAAGTCTCATTAAGTCGATTTTGAAGGTGAAGGCAAGGAACATATTTGTTGTCATTCTTACTAGTACATGGATTCTAGTTTTTATCATACAGAAAATTCTTGTTTTCTTCTTGCAATGAAGATCAGAATATGTATATTAGTGAGAATTTGGGTAATAAAAATAATTTTGCTTTGTTTTCCTGTTTTCTTCCACATCATACTGTTATGGATAACTAAACATGATCATATATAATACAGCCTTCAAGTTTATTTATTATCTACCCTCCAGAATAATTTCTTTTTTTTTATTTATTATTATTTTTTATTATACTTTAAGTTTTAGGGTACATGTGCACATTGTGCAGGTTAGTTACGTATGTATACATGTGCCATGCTGGTGTGCTGCACCCACTAACTCGTCATCTAGCATTAGGTATATCTCCCAATGCTATCCCTCCCCCCTCCCCCCACCCCACAACAGTCCCCAGAGTGTGATATTCCCCTTCCTGTGTCCATGTGATCTCATTGTTCAATTCCCACCTATGAGTGAGAATATGCGGTGTTTGGTTTTTTGTTCCTGCGATAGTTTACTGAGAATGATGATTTCCAATTTCATCCATGTCCCTACAAAGGACATGAACTCATCCTTTTTTAGGGCTGCATAGTATTCCATGGTGTATATGTGCCACATTTTCTTTATCCAGTCTATCATTGTTGGACATTTGGGTTGGTTCCAAGTCTTTGCTATTGTGAATAATGTCGCAATAAACATACATGTGCATGTGTCTTTATAGCAGCATGATTTATAGTCCTTTGGGTATATACCCAGTAATGGGATGGCTGGGTCAAATGGTATTTCCAGTTCTAGATCCCTGAGGAATCGCCACACTGACTTCCACAATGGTTGAACTAGTTTACAGTCCCACCAACAGTGTAAAAGTGTTCCTATTTCTCCACATCCTCTCCAGCACCTGTTGTTTCCTGACTTTTTAATGATTGCCATTCTAACTGGTGTGAGATGGTATCTCATTGTGGTTTTGATTTGCATTTCTCTGATGGCCAGTGATGGTGAGCATTTTTTCATGTGTTTTTTGGCTGCATAAATGTCTTCTTTTGAGAAGTGTCTGTTCATGTCCTTTGCCCACTTTTTGATGGGGTTGTTTTTTTCTTGTCAATTTGTTTGAGTTCATTGTAGATTCTGGATATTAGCCCTTTGTCAGATGAGTAGGTTGCGAATATTGTCTCCCATTTTGTAGGTTTCCTATTCACTCTGATGGTGGTTTCTTTTGCTGGGCAGAAGCTCTTTAGTTTAATTATATCCCATTTGTCAATTTTGGCTTTTGTTGCCATTGCTTTTGGTGTTTTAGACATGAAGTCCTTGCCCATGCCTATGTCCTGAATGGTAATGCCTAGGTTTTCTTCTAGGGTTTTTATGGTTTTAGGTCTAACGTTTAAGTCTTTAATCCATCTTGAATTGATTTTTGTATAAGGTCTAAGGAAGGGATCCAGTTTCAGCTTTCTACATATGGCTAGCCAGTTTTCCCAGCACCATTTATTAAATAAGGAATCCTTTCCCCATTGCTTGTTTTTCTCAGGTTTGTGAAAGATCAGATAGTTGTAGATATGCGGCATTATTTCTGAGGGCTCTGTTCTGTTCCATTGAACTATATCTCCGTTTTGGTACCAGTACCATGCTGTTTTGCTTACTGTAGCCTTGTAGTATAGTTTGAAGTCAGGTAGTGTGATGCCTCCAGCTTTGTTCTTTTGGCTTAGGATTGACTTGGCGATGCGGGCTCTTTTTTGGTTCCATATGAACTTTAAAGTAGTTTTTTCCAATTCTGTGAAGAAAGTCATTGGTAGCTTGACGGGGATGGCATTGAATCTGTAAATTACCTTGGGCAGTATGGCCATTTTCACGATATTGATTCTTCCTATCCATGAGCATGGAATGTTCTTCCATTTGTTTGTATCCTCTTTTATATCCTTGAGCAGTGGTTTGTAGTTTTCTTTGAAGAGGTCCTTCACATCCCTTGTAAGTTGGATTCCTAGGTATTTTATTCTCTTTGAAGCAATTGTGAATGGGATTTCACTCATGATTTGGCTCTCTGTTTGTCTGTTGTTGGTGTATAAGAATGCTTGTGATTTTTGTACATTGATTTTGTATCCTGAGACTTTGCTGAAGTTGCCTATCAGCTTAAGGAGATTTTGGCCTGAGACAATGGGGTTTTCTAGATATACAATCATGTCATCTGCAAACAGGGACAATTTGACTTCCTCTTTTCCTAATTGAATACCCTTTATTTCCTTCTCCTGCCTAATTGCCCTGGCCAGAACTTCCAACACTATGTTGAATAGGAGTGGTGAGAGAGGGCATCCCTGTCTTGTGCCAGTTTTCAAAGGGAATGCTTCCAGTTTTTGCCCATTCAGTATGATATTGGCTGTGGGTTTGTCACAGATAGCTCTTATTATTTTGAGATACGTCCCATCAATACCTAATTTATTGAGAGTTTTTAGCATGAAGGGTTGTTGAATTTTGTCAAAGGCTTTTTCTGCATCTATTGAGATAATCATGTGGTTTTTGTCTTTGGCTCTGTTTATATGCTGGATTACATTTATTGATTTGCGTATATTGAACCAGCCTTGCATCCCAGGGATGAAGCCCACTTGATCATGGTGGATAAGCTTTTTTGATGCGCTGCTGGATTCGTTTTGCCAGTATTTTATTGAGGATTTTTGCATCAATGTTCATCAAGGATATTGGTCTAAAATTCTCTTTTTTGGTTGTGTCTCTGCCCGGCTTTGGTATCAGAATGATGCTGGCCTCATAAAATGAGTTAGGGAGGATTCCCTCTTTTTCTATTGATTGGAATAGTTTCAGAAGGAATGGTACCAGCTCCTCCTTGTACCTCTGGTAGAATTCGGCTGTGAATCCATCTGGTCCTGGACTCTTTTTGGTTGGTAAGCTATTGATTATTGCCACAATTTCAGATCCTGTTATTGGTCTATTCAGAGATTCAACTTCTTCCTGGTTTAGTCTTGGGAGAGTGTATGTGTCGAGGAATTTATCCATTTCTTCTAGATTTTCTCGTTTATTTGCGTAGAGGTGTTTGTAATATTCTCTGATGGTAGTTTGTATTTCTGTGGGATCAGTGGTGATATCCCCTTTATCATTTTTTATTGCGTCTATTTGATTCTTCTCTTTTTTTCTTTATTAGTCTTGCTAGCAGTCTATCAATTTTGTTGATCCTTACAAAAAACCAGCTCCTGGATTCATTAATTTTTTGAAGGGTTTTTTGTGTCTCTATTTCCTTCAGTTCTGCTCTGATTTTAGTTATTTCTTGCCTTCTGCTAGCTTTTGAATGTGTTTGCTCTTGCTTTTCTAGTCCTTTTAATTGTGATGTTAGAGTGTCAATTTTGGATCTTTCCTGCTTTCTCTCGTGGGCATTTAGTGCTAAAAATTTCCCTCTACACACTGCTTTGAATGCGTCCCAGAGATTCTGGTATGTTGTGTCTTTGTTCTCGTTGGTTTCAAAGAACATCTTTATTTCTGCCTTCATTTCGTTATGTACCCAGTAGTCATTCAAGAGCAGGTTGTTCAGTTTCCATGTAGTCGAGCAGTTTTGAGTGAGATTCTTAATCCTGAGTTCTAGTTTGATTGCACTGTGGTCTGAGAGATAGTTTGTTATAATTTCTGTTCTTTCACATTTACTGAGGAGAGCTTTACTTCCAACCATGTGGTCAATTTTGGAATAGGTGTGGTGTGGTGCTGAAAAAAATGTATATTCTGTTGATTTGGGGTGGAGAGTTCTGTAGATGTCTATTAGGTCCGCTTGGTGCAGAGCTGAGTTCAATTCCTGGGTATCCTTGTTGACTTTCTGTCTTGTTGATCTGTCTAATGTTGACAGTGGGGTGTTAAAGTCTCCCATTATTAATGTGTGGGAGTCTAAGTCTCTTTGTGGGTCACTCAGGACTTGCTTTATGAATCTGGGTGCTCCTGTATTGGGTGCATATATATTTAGGATAGTTAGCTCTTCTTGTTGAATTGATCCCTTTACCATTATGTAATGGCCTTCTTTGTCTCTTTTGATCTTTGTTGGTTTAAAGTCTGTTTTATCAGAGACTAGGATTGCAATCCCTGCCTTTTTTTGTTTTCCATTTCCTTGGTAGATCTTCCTCCATCCTTTTATTTTGAGCCTATGTGTGTCTCTGCATGTGAGATGGGTTTCCTGAATACAGCACACTGATGGGTCTTGACTCTTTATCCAATTTGCCAGTCTGTGTCTTTTAATTGGAGCATTTAGTCCATTTACATTTAAAGTTAATATTGTTATGTGTGAATTTGATCCTGTCATTATGATGTTAGCTGGTTATTTTGCTTGTTAGTTGATGCAGTTTCTTCCTAGTCTCGATCGTCTTTACTTTTGGCATGATTTTGCAACGGCTGGTACCAGTTGTTCCTTTCCATGTTTAGTGCTTCCTTCAGGAGCTCTTTTAGGGCAGGCCTGGTGGTGACAAAATCTCTCAGCATTTGCTTGTCTGTAAAGTATTTTATTTCTCCTTCACTTATGAAGCTTAGTTTGGCTGGATATGAAATTCTGGGTTGAAAATTCTTTTCTTTAAGAATGTTGAATATTGGCCCCCACTCTCTTCTGGCTTGTAGGGTTGCTGCTGAGAGATCAGCTGTTAGTCTGATGGGCCTCCCTTTGAGGGTAACCCGACCTTTCTCTCTGGCTGCCCTTAACATTTTTTCCTTCATTTCAACTTTGATGAATCTGACAATTATGTGTCTTGGAGTTGGTCTTCTCGAGGAGTATCTTTGTGGCGTTCTCTGTATTTCCTGAATCTGAACGTTGGCCTGCCTTGCTAGATTGGGTAAGTTCTCCTGGATAATATCCTGCAGAGTGTTTTCCAACTTGGTTCCATTCTCCCCATCACTTTCAGGTACACCAATCAGATGTAGATTTGGTCTTTTCACATAGTCCCATATTTCTTGGAGGCTTTGCTCATTTCTTTTTATTCTTTTTTCTCTAAACTTCCCTTCTCGCTTCATTTCATTCATTTCATCTTCCATCGCTGATACCCTTTCTTCCAGTTGATCGCATCGGCTCCTGAGGCTTCTGCATTCTTCACGTAGTTCTCGAGCCTTGGTTTTCAGCTCCATCAGCTCCTTTAATCACTTCTCTGTATTGGTTATTCTAGTTATACATTCTTCTAAATTTTTTTCAATGTTTTCAACTTCTTTGCCTTTGGTTTGAATGTCCTCCCATAGCTCAGAGTAATTTGATCGTCTGAAGCCTTCTTCTCTCAGCTCGTCAAAGTCATTCTCCGTCCAGCTTTGTTCCATTGCTGGTGAGGAACTGCGTTCCTTTGGAGGAGGAGAGGCGCTCTGCTTTTTACAGTTTCCAGTTTTTCTGTTCTGTTTTTCCCCCATCTTTGTGGTTTTATCTACTTTTGGTCTTTGATGATGGTGATGTACAGATGGGTTTTTGGTGTGGATGTCCTTTCTGTTTGTTAGTTTTCCTTCTAACAGACAGGACCCTCAGCTGCAGGTCTGTTGGAGTACCCTGCAGTGTGAGGTGTCAGTGTGCCCCTGCTGGGGGGTGCCTCCCAGTTAGGCTGCTCGGGGGTCAGGGACCCACTTGAGGAGGCAGTCTGCCCGTTCTCAGATCTCCAGCTGCATGCTGGGAGAACCACTGCTCTCTTCAAAGCTGTCAGACAGGGACATTTAAGTCTGCAGTGGTTAGTACTGTCTTTTTGTTTGTCTGTGCCCTGCCCCCAGAGGTGGAGCCTACAGAGGCAGGCAGGCCTCCTTGAGGTGTGGTGGGCTCCACCCAGTTGGAGCTTCCCAGCTGCTTTGTTTACCTCAGCAAGCCTGGTCAATGGCAGGCGCCCCTCCCCCAGCCTGGCTGCCGCCTTGCAGTTTGATCTCAGACTGCTGTGCTAGCAATCAGGGAGACTCCGTGGGCGTAGGACCCTCCAAGCCAGGTGCGGGATATAATCTGGTGGTGCATCGTTTTTTAAGCCGGTCGGAAAAGCGCAGTATTTGGGTGGGAGTGACCCGATTTTCCAGGTGTGTCCGTCACCCCTTTCTTTGACTGGGAAAGGGAACTCCCTGACCCCTTGTGCTTCCCAAGTGAGGCAATGCCTCGTGCTGCTTAGGCTCCCACATGGTGCGCGCACCCACTGACCACCCACTGTCTGGCACTCCCAAGTGAGATGAACCTGGTACCTCAGATGGAAATGCAGAAATCACCCGTCTTCTGTGTCGCTCATGCTGGGAGCTGTAGACAGGAGCTGTTCCTATTCGGCCATCTTGGCTCCTCCCTCCTCCAGAATAATTTCTAATGAAGAGTCAAATGGCGAAAAACATCGAAGATTAGCTTGAATAATATAAATAGAATTATAGAGAAATACTTGTATTTTGCAAATATATATTATTTTCTACGTTGTTACACTGCTGCAGTGTGCTAAATGTTTGTAAGCCTTGTTATTTGGGGTTTCGGGCCCTAGGCAAAAGAGACAAAAAACAAAAGTAAAATTATAGTTGTGGATAAAGTTATAGCCTTGCTAATATCATATGGTTGTGATATAAAGATGTATTAATTGTTGTGTTTCAAATATATTTTAAGTTTATGGGATATAAAATAGGAAATATACACAGACCAAGGTGGGAAGCTGGATATACTTTGTGGTTTAATCTGAGGTGAAGGTTAACTTCATTGCTAGTTAAAATTTAAGTACAAATATACATTTTACACACAAGCATTTGTGAAACGTTTTTGATAGCTCTCATCACATCTTTAGAAAATAGAGTTGATAAGAAAAAAAGGGATTAGGAAAGAGGTAACAGCCAAGTAAATTAAGTCATTATTTTAAAAATGGTCTCAAATATTATTACTGACCTTCTTCCTCCCATGAACAATGACTTAAGCTTGAGGAGATGTTAAAAATATTGTCTTTGAAACCGATTATATTGCCTTGATATGTCCTTAGAATTGAGTAGCCTGATTAAAACAGGTATTTCAACAGCAAGCTTTTAGACTCATAATTATTTACAGAGATGTTTAAGGTGACCTTTCACTATTGGGATGAACTAGTCTCTGATATTTATAAGAATAAGTAATTAAACCTGCCAAACAAACTTGATAAAGGAGCTTTATTACAATCTGCTGCTTTCTAAATCCTTCAAGGTTTATTAGTTCCTGTACCCTGACAGAGCAACACACTAGTAACTATTATGGATTACCTTCCAGTAAAGTAGGTATTTAAAGGCTAGAAAGGCACAAAAATAGCTTACAATATATTAGAAGAATGAGAAATTTTGTAGTACAACAGCTCCAAAATGTAATTCAAGTATTGCTCATTAGTTCTTAATCCTATAGCTAAAATTGGACTGAATAAACCAGATTCTGAAGTCAGTGCTGGCTTAAATACAGTGTTAGACCAAAGAACTCTTAATTTTTGGCATTGATATTTATCTTGACGCGGCAGCAATGTGAAGGAGAAACTTTGAGAAAAAATAGCGTATGGCATTTTTAATGTGCTGCTGATTTAATATACAATAATTTCATTAGACACCTATAAATCAAGATAATCTTTCAACAGGAGAGTGAATCCTCCTTCAGTTAAGGGAGCGACCTAATTTCAAACACATTAGCAGGGAAATTAACACATTAGACTTACTAGAGGACCTGTCTGCTTCAAATGGTTTCAGAGCTGCTCTGGGGAAGTGGTTCTCAGGGTAAATTGTACTTTCCTCCAATTTTTGAAATCATTTTACAGAAGTGAGCGACATTCTAAGGAGGGAGGCATGGTGCAATGGATAGTCATTAGAGGATTTTACCCATCTTCTTAGTGGGAGAAAGGGAACTAAGGGAATGAAATGCATGACTTACAAATGAGCCCCCACCTCTTCTGACACCCATCCTCAAACAACACGTATGATTTTGTTTGCATTTTCTGACTCAAAGTTTGTATTCATCAAAAGCTAAACTTATTTAGCATAAACACAGAGGAACGGAAAAGCCAGAATGTTCTAGGTCTATCACTCATAGTTCCCAGAGAATGGCAATTAATAATAAAGCTGATGACAGTGAAAATTATGAGCTAGGTAACATTTTTAGCACTTAACATATAGTAATTTATTTTATATAATCCTCTCAATAACATTCAATAGAAAATAAAACTAAGGCATGAAGTGATTAATAACTTACCTAAAGCCACAAAACAGCAAACCCAATAATATAAACCTAACAGTCTGGCTCCATGTCCCCAGCCTTTAATCACTATTGTGCACTGTCACACCAGGATCTTCTTTCTTTCATCTTGCACCAAATTCAAGATGAACAATTGCATTTTGTATAAAAATTTAAAAAGGTAATTCTTTGGCCCTTTCTCAGACTTGGAATTCTGCATGTTTTCATTGCAGTAGAATATTGAAAGGCAGTTAGGATGTTAAGATGGCTCCCAGTGAAGATGATATTAGTTCAATTATGTTTTTCAAACATATGACCCTATGAAATGAACTGCAAAAATGTGAAGAAATATTTTCAGGTCACATACTCCTATGTATTAAAAGCTCATGGAAGTCATATAGGCAAGAAACTTGTATAAACTTGTGTAACCCAGTTGTTCACATTTCACTTGAAAAGAGACTATCTTCTCCCTTTTAGAGAGCACCTCATAACCTCTGGAGAAACTGATTTTCTCAGGAACATCATTTGAGAAATAAATACTGGTTTCTGCAAATAAATCAAATGTTGAGTGGCCTAAGATAACCTACTCTAGGAAAGGATGGAGATTGAATCTCTCCTAGTTTGTCGAACTCATACCTCACACATTGATACCATATTCATCATTTCCCTTTAATTTTTTTCTCCATACACCTTACCTTTATTGGCAATACTTAGGTGCTTTCTTTTAGTTCCTGCTGTGTTTCATTCCATTTGCAGAGAGAAAGCTACTAGAGAGTCAGAAAACACGTTGCTTTAACACAGTCTTCAGCTACATCTGAGCACTGCTAGTGCTTTTGATCTATAACAGTACTAGCTGTAGAATGGAGCCAAGGAATACAATATAGAAGGTCATTTGACTCTGGATATTTTCCTCCAACCACACAAGTCAATTTAAGGATTAGAATAATTATTTGCAGTTGTATTTTTCCACAATTTACCACTCCAAATTATCTAAGGGGAGAAAAGCTCCTCTAAATATTTTCCTTTTTATTTTTGTCTATATAATTTTGCCTTCCACAAATACGTTTTAAGAAAACTAGCAATTAATTGTTACATTAGAAATCTAAATCTTGTTGCATAATGGCTGAAATTACAGAATTTTTTATGTATAAATGAATGCAACCAATCCTAATGAGAATAAATAGAGGATTCAGGGCTTGTTATAGCAAAGGAGTTAGCAACTATCACCGTAATATAGCAGACTCAGCCAGGCAGGGAAGTGGGAAAGTGTTATAGTGGAAAAAAAAAAAAAAGAGAGAGAGAAGGCTTTAGGTATGCTCTGCTTGGAAATTATTGGTATGGGTTAGTTGAAAGTGGGCACATTAGAAGTGGAGCATCCTATGTGACTGGTTTGGGAGCCTATTTGGCTTTCTCTGGCTGGTCCTAAGTTGGACACAGAGGGGAGTGAGGAGGATAGGGAAGCTAGGAGTCATTTACCAAGTCCTAATGATTCTGGGATAATTGCTGAAGAGCTTATGGTCTGATTTCTTCAGGCTGGTTGCTGCAGAGGTGGTGGGACTGAGATCTATTGTCATACGTGACATTTTCTATTTTTATATTTAGTTTCTCATGCATCACACAAGCCTAAGTTTGTATCATGACTATTTTTTGACAATTTCATAATCTTAGACAAGGTATTGCTCTCAGAGCCTTAGTTTCATTACATGAACATAAGAATCACAATATTTACTCAGTAGAGTCATTGTGAGGGCAAAATAAAACTTAAAAAGTTAAAGAATCACTATATATTTGTTTTTGTGATTTTTTGTTTTGTTAATTTTTAATTTAATTTTTGCGGGTACATAGTTGGCATATATATTTATGAGGTACATGAGATGTTTTGATACAAGAACACAATGTGTAATAATCACATTATGTAAAATGGAGTATTCATCCCCACAAGCATTTATCCTTTGTGTTTCAAACAATGCAATTATACCCTTTAGTTATTTTAAAATGTAAAATAATATTAACTGTAATATCCCTGTTGTGCTATCAAATACTACTTCTTCTTTATTCTTTCTATTTTTTTTTGTAGCCATTAAACATGTCTCCCCCAATCCTCCCACTACCAGCCTCTGGTAACCAGCCCTCTACTCGCTACATGTATTCAATTGTTTTTATTTTTAGATCCCACAAAAAGGTGAGAACATGAGACATTTGTCTTTCTGTGCCTGGCTTATTAGCATAATGACCTCCAGTTACAACCATGTTGTTGCAAATAACAGGATCTCATTCTTTTTTATGACTGAATAGAGCTCCATTGTATATAGGTACTACATTTTCCTTATCCATTTGTCTATTGATAGATATATAGGTTGCTTACAAATTTTGGCTAATGTACACAGTGCTGCAACAAATGTAGGAGTGCAGATATCACTTCAATATACTGATTTTTTTTCTTTTGGGTATATACCCAGCAGTGTGACTGCTGGATCATATTGTAGCTCTATTTTTAGTTTTTTGAGGATCCTCCGAACTGTTCTCCATAGTGATTGTACTAATTTACAATCCTACTAACAGTATGTGAGGGTGTCTTTTTCTTCCCTTCCTCAGTAGCATTTGTTATTGCCTGTCTTTTGGATAAAAGCCATTTTAACTGGGGTGAGATTATATCTCATTATAGTTGCATTTTTCTAGTGATTAGTGATGTTGAGCACCTTTTCATATGCCTGTTTGCCATTTGTATATCTTCTTTTGAAAAAGTCTATTCAAATATTTTGCCCATTTTTAATCAGATTATTATTTTCCTATAGAGTGTTTTCCAGCACAATTTTTTAAAGAGACTCTCTTTTCCTCAGTGTATGTTCTTGTCACCTTTGCCAAAAATGAGTTTGTTGTAGGCATGTGATTGGTTTTTTGGTTCTCCATCTTGTTCCATTAGTCTATGTATCTGTTTTTATGCCAGTACCATGCTGTTTTGGTTACTATAGCTCTGTAGTATAATTTGAAGTCAAATAATGTGATTTCTTCACTTTTGTTCTTTTTGCTTAGGATAGCTTTGGCTATTTTGGCTTATGTGGTTCCATATACATTTTAGGATTTTTTTTTCTATGTCTGTGAAGAATGTCTTATTTTCCTAGGAAATGCATTGAATCTGTAGATTGTTTAGGGTAGTATGGACATTTTAACAACATTGATTCTTCTAATCTATGAACATGAAATATATTTCCATTACTTGGTGCTTTCTTTAATTTCTTTCATCAATGTTTTATAGTTTTTATTATAGAGATCTTTTACTTCTGTGGTTAAATTATTTCCTAGGTATTTAATTTTATGCATGGCTATTGTAAATGGGATCGCTTTTTAATTTCTTTTTCATATTGTTTACTGTTAGCATATAGAAATACTGCTAATTTTTGTATGCTGATTTTGTATCCTGCAACTTTACTGAATTTGTTTATCAGTTCTAATCGTTTTTTGGTGGAGTGTACGTTTTTAGAAATATAAGGTCAAATTATCTGCAAACAAGGATAATTTCACTTCTTCTTTTTGAATTTGGATACCCTTTATTTGTTTCTCTTGTCTGATTGCTGTAGCTGGGACTTTCAATACTATGCTGAATAACAGTGGGCATCCTTGTCGTATTCCAGATCTTAGAGGAATTTCCCCATTCAGTGTGACACTACCTGTTGATCTGTTATATATGGCTTTTATTATTTTGAGGTATATTCATTTTATTCCTAGGTTTTTGAGTTTTTTTAAACAGGAAGAGATGTTGAATTTTATCAAATGCTTTTTCAGTATCAATTGAGGTAATCATATGGTATTTGTCCTTCATTTTGTTGATATTATGCAGTACATTGATTGATTTTTGTACATTGAACCATCCTTGCATCCCTGGGGTAAATCCCACTTGGTCTTGATGAATAATTTTCTTAATGTAGTATTAAATTCAATTTGCTATAATTTTGTTGAAGATTTTGCATCAATGTTCATCAGAGATATTAGCCTGCAGTTTTCTCTTTTTTAATATGTTTTTATCTGATTATGTTATCCAGGTAATACTGAACTCATAGAATAAGTTTGGAAGTATTTTCTTCTCCTCTACTCTTCAGAACAGTTTCAGAAGGATTGGTATTAGTTATTCTTTAAATGTTTTGTAGAATTCATCAGTGGAGCCATCAAGTCCCGAGCTCTCCTTTACTGAGAGACTTTTATTACAGTTTTGATCTCATTGCTTGTTATTGTTCTGTTCAGGTTTTAGATTTCGTTAAGATTCAATATTGGCAGGTAATATATGTCTAGAAATTTATTCATTTCTTCTAGATTTTCCAAATTATTGGAATATTGCTGCTCATAGTAGCCAATAATGATCCTTTGAATTTCTGCAGTGTAAGTTATAATGTCTCCTTTCTCATTTCTGATTTTATTTATTTGGATCCTCTCTTTTTTTCTTATTTAGCCTGGCTAAAGGTTTGTCAGTTTAGTTTAACTTTTCAGAAAACCAACTTTTTGTTTCATTGATTTTTTGTATTGTTTTCTTCAATTTTATTTACTTCTTCTTTGATAGTTATTATTTCTTTTCTTCACTAATTTTGGGTTTGGTTTCCTCTTGCTTTCCTAATTATTTAAGATGCATTGTTAGGTTGTTTATCTTGAGTTTTTCTTCATTTTTGATGTAGGCACATAGAGCTATAAACTTCCTTCTTAGTACTGCTTTTGCTGTATTCCATTAGTTTTGATGTGCTGTGTTTCCATTATCATTTGCTTCAAGAAAATTTTAGATTTCCTTCTTAATTTCTTTATTGACCCACTGGTCATTCAGGAGAATATTGCTTAATTTCTATGAGTCTGTATAGTTTCCAAAATTCCGTATTGATTTTTAGTTTTATTCCATTGTGGTCAGTAATATGCTTGTTATTTTAATTTTTTTGGAATTTTTTCAGACTTGTTTTGTGACCTATCATATGGTCTACCCCTGAGAATGATCCATGTGCTGAGGGAAAAAAATGCGTATTCTGCAGTATTTGGATGAAATGTTCTGTAAATATCTATGAGGTCAATTTGGTCTATAGTGTTCAGATTAAGTCTGATGTTTCTTTGTTGACTTTCCATCTGAAAGATCTGTCCAATGCTGAAAGTGATGTGTTGAAATCTCCAGCTATTATTCTATTGTGAGCTACCTCTCTTTAGCTCTAATAATATTTGCTTCATACATCTGGGTGCTCCAGTGTGTATATATATGTAAAATTTTTATATCATCTTGCTAAACTGTCCCCTTTATAGTGACCTTCTTTGTCACTTCTTACAGTTTTTGCCTAGAAATCTATTTTGTCTTATGTAAGTATAGTGACTGCTGCTCCTTTTTGGCTTCCGTTGACATGGGATATATTTTTCGATCCCTTTATTTTTAGTCTATGTGTGTCCTTGTAGGTGAATTGTGTTTCCTGTAGGCAACAAGATATTTGATCTTGTTTTATCATTTGCATTCAGCTACTCTGTATCTTTTGACTGGAGAATTTAGTCCATTTACATTCAATGTTATTATTGATAAGTAAAAACTTACTCTTGCCATTTTGTTATTTGTTCTCTGGTTGTTTTATGCTACCTTCTTTCTTTCCTTCTTGCCTTCCTTTTAATGCAGTTGAGTTTCTCTGGTAATATGATTGTCTCTTACCATTTCTTTTTTGCATATCCTTTATACATTTTTTGGTTTGAGGTTACTCATTATTTTAAGTTGATAAGAACTTAACACTTAACTTCCTCCCCCAATTTTAACTGTTTTTTAAAAATTTCTATTTATAATAAATCTTATTGTACTCTCTGTCTCTTGAAAAGTTGCTGTAGTTATTATTATTATTATTATTATTATTATTATTATTATTAAGATGGAGTCTTGCTCTGTCACCAGATTGGAGTGTGGTGGCATGATCTCGGCTTACTGCAACCTCTGCCCCTAGGTTCAAGTTATTCTCCTGCCTCAGCCTCCCAAGTAGCTGGGACTACAGGTGCACGCCACCACGCCCAGCTAATTTTTTGTATTTTTAGTAGAGATGGGGTTTCACCATGTTGGCCAGGATGGTCTTGATCTCTTGACCTTGTAATCTGCCCATCTCAGCCTCCCAAAGTGCTGGGATTACAGGTGTGAGCCACTGTGCCTGGCCTGTTTATCATTTTTGGTTGGATCATTGCTTAGTCTTCTACTTAGATAAGAGTTGTTTGTTCATACCTCACAATTACAGTCATAACATTCTGTGGGGTTTTTTGTGTAGTTACTATTACTGGTGAGTTTTGTACCCTCAGATAATTTCTTGTTGTTTATTAACATCCTTTTCTTTCTGGTTTAAATACTCCCTTTAGCATTTCTTGTAAGTTAGATCTGATGTTGATGAAATCTGCCATATTTTGTTTGTCTGGGAAAGTCTTTATTCTTCCTTCATGTTTGAAGCATATTTTCACAGATATACTATTGTAAAGTAAGTTTTGTTTTTTTGTTTTTGTTTTTCTTCATTCCCTTAAATATGTCTTTGTGGACCACTCTCTTGGCCTACGAAGTTTTCACTGAAAAGTCTGGTGCTAGACATATTGCAGCTAAATTGCATGTTATTTGTTTCTTTCATCTTGCTGCTTTTAGAATCTTTTTTTAAATCTTTGAACTCTGAGAGTTTGATTATTGAATGCCTTGAGGTAGGCTTACTTGGGTTATACCTGTTTGGCAGTCTATAACCTTCTTGTACTTCAATGTTGGTATCTTTCTCTAGGTTTGGGAAGTTCTCTGATATTATCCCGTTGAATAAACTTTCTATCCCTTTCTCTTTCTGTACCTCCTCTTTAAGGCCAGTAATTTAGATTTGCCCTTTTGAGGCAATTTTCTAGATCCTGTAGGCATGTTTCATTGCTTTTTATTCTTTTTTTGTCTCCTCTGACTGTATATTTTCAAGTAGCCTGTCTTCAAGCCCACACATTCTTTCTCCTGTTTGATTAATTCTGCTGTTGAGAGACTCTGATGCATTCTTCATCATGTCATTGCATTTTTAACTCTAGAATTCTGCTTGATTCTTTCAAATTATTTTAATCTCTTATTAAAATATCTGATAAAATTTTAAATTCCTTCTTCATGTTGCCTTAAATTTCTTTGAGTTTCCTCAACACAGTTATTTGGAATTCTCTGTCTGAAAGATCACATATATCTGTTTCTCCAGGATTTGTCCCTGATGCATTTAGTTTATTTGGTGACATTTTGTCTTCCTGCATGGTCTTGACACTTGTAGACATTCATTTGTTTCTGGGCATTGAAAAGTTAGGTATTTATTGTAGTTTTCTCCACTTGGGCTTGGTTGTACCTGCCCTTTTTGGGAACCTTTCCAGATATTTAATACAACTTGAGCGTTGTAATCTAAGCTGTATCTGCTTTAAGGGGCACCTAAAACACAGTAACACTGTGGTTCTTTCAGACTTGTAGAAGTACAGCCTTGATAGTCTTGGACAAGACCCAGAAGAATTCTCTGGGTTACCAGAAAGAGACTCTTTGTTCTCTCCCCATACCTTCTCCTGAAGAAACTGTTTTGAGCCACCTGGGTTGGAGGTGAAGTGACTAAAGAAACACTGCAGGCATCAACACTAGGCCTGTGCTGGGTTCGACCTAAGTCAGCACAGCATTGGGTCTCACAAAACACCTGCCATAACCACTCCCTGGCTATGGCCTACTTTCATTCAAAAACTTAGGGCTCTACAATCTACAGGTGACAAAGCCAGCCAGCCTTGAATTTCTTCATTTCATAGTTACAAGCTCCCTTAGGCCCTGGGTGGGTCCAGAGTTGCTGACTTGGAGTAAGAAACTAAATTCAAAAATCTTAGAAGTATATGTGGTATTCTATTGTACTGAGGCTGGGCTGACAGTGAAACCATAAAATGCAGTTTTTCCCACTCTTCTTTCTCCTTTCCAAAGGCAAAGGAGCCTCATGCCATGTCCACCACCACCACAGGCCCAGGGGGAGTACTGCCAGAGCACAGTCAATGTTTCTTAACCCAAGGGCTCTTCAGTCATCTTGTGGTGAATGCTGCTTGGCCTGGGATTCACACTTTAGGGAAGTGGGCTCCCTCTGACTCAGGACAGGTCCAGAAATGCTGTCCAAGAGTCAAGTCTTAGAATCGGAAACCCCAAGAGCCTGCTTGGTGCTTTATCCCCACTGGGGCTGAGCTGGATGGCACCTAAAGTGCAAGACAAAGTCACCTTTACTTTTACCTCTGCTTTTGTCAAGTGAAAGAAGCCTCACCCTGTAGCTGGGAATGTGCTGAGTCTCACCTGAAACCAGCGAGTCTCAGAGTCTCACTCAAGGCCTTCAATGTAATACTTTGTTATTGGTCCTGGTTATTCAGGGCCCAAGGGCTTTTCAGTTAGCAGGTAATGAATCCTACCAGAACTGGGATCATCCTTTCAAGGCTGGGATCATCCTTTCAAGGCCCAGGTCCCCTTCTAGCCAAGTATGTGTTTGGAAATGTTATCTAGGAGCCAGAGCCTGGAAAATGAGCCTAAGGACTCTGACCAGTGTCCTATCCTGCTGTGGCTGTACTGGAACCCAGGATATAAGATAAAGTCCTCCTCACTGTTTAGTGGATGGAAGGGGTCTCTTTGAACCTGTCAGCTGTATAGCCTGAGGTTAGGGGAGGAGTAATACCAGCACTCTTTTAGCCTGCCTGGCTAGTCTCCCAGTGAATCATGTGTCCCCTGACTCCCTCCCCACCAAGTTCTCTGTCTCTGGGCCCCATTCAGCACAAGGACTTGCATAAGAGTTGCAGTCTTTGTGGCCTCGATTGCCTTTCAAGTTTATTCTGTTAGCAAGAGCACTTTACTGCAAGGCTTGTGGGAACCACATTTGGACTCCTGGGATCAGAGATTCCCCTCTGGCTAGAGGAGGTTTAAATGCTCCCTCTGTGGGTGGGCATCAGCTGAGTTTGGTTCAGTTGTGTTTTCCATTATAATAGGGAGCACTAAATTCAATGTCTCACAGTTGCTGCACTCTCCCTATAACCAGTGCACAGAAATGTTCTCCACAGCATGTGGCTGCTGCCAGGAGACAGGGGAGGGGTTGTATCAGTGATTAAAGACTGTTTTTCCTAGTCTTCAGTGTCTCTTTCAGCAATATGAAGTTAAAACCGGGTACTGTGAGTGCACACCTGATTTTTGGTTCTTATAAAGGTGACTTTGGTAGATAGTTGTTAAATTGATGTCTCTGCAGGCAAGGGCGGGCAGGGGTGGGGGGACAATCAGTGGAGCCTTCCATTATGCCATCTTGTTCTGCTCCTCAACTATACATTTTTTAACATAGTAACCAATCAGTAAATAAAATCTCTGTTGCTGTTATCATGTTATGTCCTTTTCTAAAAGTACCAATAAGACATTTTTTCAAATTGTTGCACTTGAAAGCAAGAGGTTATTGTGTTTAATATTAATAAAATTTATAGATACTGATAATGTAGCATCAAACACTCCACTCTCCAAACCTTTTCATACCCCTTCTTTGACTCACTCAGATACTAGAAATGAAGCAGCCTCTCCTTTCATTGAGGAATTTGTGTGAAGCTTCTGTCTTTTTAAGTCTGTGTTAGTTTTTAGGCTTCTAGTTGGCTGTTCTAAATTCAGCTCATTTAATTAATCTCTCTCTTCATAGAAAGCCTTATAGTATAAGGAACTCTATTTTGTTTCATAGCTATAATTCATTCTTCTGTGATTTACTAATGCATGATTATGAAAGTTAGAAAAGAAACAATGCCAAATTATATTGATATATAAATATTTTTCTTTGCCACAGCAGCAGTGTGTTAAGATTTCATTGACTTATCCACAGTTCAAACACTCTTATTCAATGTAAAGTGAGCCAAATGTCAAGTTCAAATAAATTTATATTCTTTTATAATCCCCTAATAAATTCCAGCATATTTCCAAACTCTCAATTGTACTAATTTTTAAGGAATATTATTTTTCTTTCACATAAAACTCTCAGAGTCCTCCATCCCTACCAAATCCAGACTTTATGGAGCATAGAATGTGGCAGATTTATCATCCATGGATAATTCTTTCTCCACTACAATACTGAGATATATTTTTTGCTGCTTTCCTATTATGTCTTCTTCCTTAGTTTACATCTCTAAGTAACTTCTTAAAATAAAAATGTGTTCTGGCATGTGTAAAAATGTTTTAATTTTTTTCATTATTCTTGGCTGTGGTTTTTACTAGTGAAGTGGCAACATCAAGGATATTATGTAGGTGCTTACTTAACGGAAAGAAACTCTGCTTTACCCACTCTTACTTGCCTGGGATGGACTCCACAAGTGGCAGGCATACTTTGCACCCAGTTGCTGGAATCTGGAGACATTTTGATGTGAAGAACATAGAGCCACCATCCAAAGAAAGAGGAATGTGTGGATGAGGTGGGTGAGATGTGGGGCCAAGAGCCACCCTGTTCAGTTTGATTCACTGACTCAATGACACCCTAGTCCAGATGTGCCCTCCTCTCTCTCAGGAGAGCCCAGTTTTCACAACTAGGACAGAATCTAGAGGTGAGAAAATTTTCTGAGTCCCTGATTACTCAACCAAGATTTCACTTCTTGATGCCTAGTAATTGCTAACTGCAGTTTCCCACATAGAGGTGGTAACCAGTCCAGAGCTTGAGCACTCCAGGCTGTCACCTGGAAAGGCAGGCAGGAGTGGAGAAGGAACATACAAATTGGGATGCCCTGCCTGAGTTTCTGGGACTCACAGTACTAATCCACCTGAGTGGTGTCTGCAGGGCAAATGAAAACAAGCAGTCAGCAGCATTAGCCTATAGGTCAGAGTGAGCCAACCCTTGCACTGGGCCTTCATTTTTTTCCTCATATTTGCCATGTCTATGTCATGTTCTGAAGGAATTACTTTTCATATTCACTTCTATACTATTTATCTCTATATTTCAGCAATTACATATCTGAGATTTCTTTCTTATTCTGTGACTGTTATTTTTTTAATGCCATCTTATTTGAAATTTATGAATTAACAATCTTCACAAATATCTCTCAGAATAGTAGTTTTCTTTGGACTAGGACCGTCAGATAAATAAAGGTATAAATAAAGAAGTAAATACATAAAATTTAAAATAAAGACACCATATATTGCAAGAAACAAACTTACACTACTTTTTTATGATAAGCTATACCCCATAAAATATTTGAGATATTATACTAAAAAGGTTTTACTAGTATAAAATTTAAATTTAAGTGGGATTCTTGTATTTTATCTGGCAGCCCTAATTCTGATCCCTAAGATATTCTAGTTCCTTCTATCTACTTTCTACCATCCAGAAAATTATCAAACTATTTGTCCACTGAAAGTTCTCTTCATATTGCCTTTATCTTTGTAATTTTGGTTTTATTTTTATCCTTATTATCCTTTAAATAAAATTTCCAAAAGAAGAAAAGTAAATATGTGAGTATAGACCTGAATGTTGAAATAGAAATAATGTCAAAAAATTAGAATTATAGAGTAGGACTACCCAAAATACAATTTAAAAAAATGTTTAAAAGTCCATGATTTTTAATAATCACGGTAATTTTGACACCACTGTATACCAAAAGTTTAAATTAGCTGTTTGATAGATTTTATTTTATTTGTCCTTTTTACATTTATCTGGAAAAAAAAAAGAAAGCTAATATATCTTTCATCATAATAGTGATAGCAGGGACCAAGGCCAAGTGGCTCAGGACCCAACTATCTTCCCAGCACTTAACACAGGAATTCTCACAAGGAGTATCAACAACAGCATTCCCAATGCCTTATTAACGCCATTCCAACCATTATGCAGGTTATGGGTTATCCGTTAACACATACCATATTTTATTTATTCTATGATATAAACACTATATATTTTTCTGGAGTTTAGATATCGTTACCAATATCAAGAGAAAACCTTACACTGTTGCATGGAAAACAGTATATTGTAAATATCTTTACCTGTACTTATGTCCACATAAGCCATATCTTAATATAAACATTTTTTCTACCCTATTAGAACTATGGTTGTGTTATTTTTTTGGTGATACGTCACAGGATGGTTTTTCAAATTTAAATTTGCATTTTTAAGTTGAGAAAGGAAAAAGAGTTATGTAAATTTCGAATTTGGCCTTGCACTCAGAGTAGGCCATGATATTCTCTTAAGATATAAATAGTTTCACAAAATACCAATCTCAGACAAGGTTACTATGGGACCAAGATAAAATGAGAAAAAAAAAGGACCACTTCATAATCTTCTGTATGCATAGTCAAAGACACATTTACTCTGTCTCCCACACAATACCAAACACCCCTCTCTTAGCTGAAAGGAGAAATTACTACTCATTTTCCAAGTAAAACCTTATCCTTTTTCTAATCTCCCCTTTGTCTAGGTAGGATTTATTGAGATAACCCATCATAGATTGCTACTACTTTCTGACAGCATCCAATCTACAGCAAATTTCTCTACACCCGCCCTCAAATCACTTAACAATTCTAAATACTATAATAGCTTTTTAAACACCTTTTTACTGAGACATTACAGTTCCCCTTGTGTGTCCTCCTCACGGCAATGACTAATAAACCAATTTGGGTAACTTCACATGTGTTCCTGGGAGTCTAGGTCTGAAGAGGATTGATAATTGCTATTTAACATTTCTTTAAAATATTATGCTATGATTCAATATTCAAATAAAATTTTAATATTTACAAACCACCTGTCACTTTTCTTGTATATGATTAAAGGCATTAGGAGTCATCAAATATCATAGTTTATACAATAAAATGAGATTGGTAATGGTTGGAGTAAAGGTAGGCTATGTTTATGTTGATGGAAAAAAGAAAATCCAAAATCTAAATGGCTTAACACAATAATGTTCACCAGTGTTATCCTACGTGTGCCTATGGATCAGCACATGTAGTCATTTAGGAACTCAGGATGTTGCAGACTCAATTTTGACACTTGCTTCTCTTGTTACTGTGTTAAGGAAAATAGAACATTGTGAAATGTGTACAGACTCCCAAATCTTCTTACCAGAGGTAACATTTCTCACCCATCAAGATTACATGACACAGTTAGACACTTAGTCAGTCTTCTATGGATAATTTTGTCAAATTCACAGGATTATGTTGAAAACACTTAAACTCACTCAGCAGTTTTAACAATGGCTGTGACATTTCTAATTTTATCTAGTTTTGCTCTGAGGCCAAAATCCATTTGACTTATTTGACTTATTGCTTAAAGGTGTTTTCTGTTACTCTGCAAATTCCTATATTTATATATTTTCTTCTATTGTTTTTTAATACTAGTTGAAAACTGGCCATTTATTTTCTAAATTTTCATATATCTTCTATTATAATTTAAGATAATCCTATAATCTATCATATACTTAGAAAAGTAATCAGAATACTTGAACAGGTCAAGTGACTATTAAAATGGTGAGACTAATTATTGATTAGATACCAAACATCAAAGAGTCAAAATCACCTTGCTAACCTCTAGAAAGGGAAGTTAAACATCCAGAAATACATAACTAAATTAAGACGAAAGATAAAAGGAAGCAAGAACACTAAGAAAAAAAATTTAGAAACAGTTGTATTTCACTTTCTTTTGTTTCTTTCTTTCCGTATTCTTTGAAATTATAGTCAATCCTGATGTACTAGTGTAGGCATCAGCAAACTTTTTTTCTGTAATGGAACAGATAGTAAATATTTTAGGCTTTGAGGACTATATGATCTCTGCCTTAACTTTAAAATTTGCATTAAAATTCAAAAGCAGCCATAGGCAATATGGTAATGAATGGTTCTGGCTATGTTCCAATAAAACTTTACAAAAAGAGGTCATACGTCAGATTTGGCCAACAGCCTGTATTTTGCTGACCACAGTAACAAAGAATTCTTATTTATGCACATATTCATATCTTGTATATTTTGATAAGCTACTGATGGCCAAATGTAGAATGGCAGAATCTTTAGACTCTGAGTGTAAGCAATGCTTAAATGGAAGCTTTAATTTTATTATGGAAGAAAAAGTAATATATAATTATATAGATAAAATATGCAATTTGGGGGTAGTTAATATGTGTGTACATTTAACGACATTTTTGTGCTACCCTTGAAAATGTTATTAATCTGATAGTGAATCTTTAAGTTAAATGAGTTCTGTGATAAAGGAAGTATAGTATGAATATCCTATACAGATAATATTCAGAGAAACACACTTTGGGGATGCAATGTAGTAAGAGGAGACAGAAAGCTAAATTTATAGATGTCTTAATTCATCTGTGAGGATAATTTCATCTCCCTCATAATCTCTTTCCCTGCAAACGAAAGACTTCTAGGTGAAAAATATCTTTGCTGGCAGAGATCTTCCCTCAGTGTGCAGATTCCTAAACAAAATTATGGTTTTGTACAAATATAAAAAGTTTATTGTGTTCTTTATAGAGACCAAATGCCTATGTGTCCATAGAAGAGAAATGTGACGGAAGATTTTAAACATATGTGGGAATCTAATTTAGCTGTCTGTTATCAGAATCAATTGCTATAGCTAAATAAATTGGGCAGTGCAACATATGAGACATCTGTTACAAACAATGCCAAAATGACCAAATTAGCCATGTGTTATTTTTAGAATCTTGTCTAATTATGCAGCACTTCTCCCTGACAGAACTTTGATTTGGAGATAGCGTAAGTGATAAAGAATGATAAGAAGTGAATTCTATTTTAATGACTTACTTGATTTATTCTAAACTAATAATACTAACAGCTATAAAGACAGCTGAGATGGCTTGGGAAATATAAGGTGAATACAAAAATTCATGAAATAATTGTTTCAATGTTAGCACTTCCTAGTAAAATAGAGCATGCAGATGCTTATATCCCAGGAGCCCTCCCAAAAGAAATGCTTGTGTTTGTACAGGAGACAGAAAGAGAGATATATGTAGTATCACTGTTTATGTTAGCAAAAGAGCAGTAACTAAATAGCCATAAATAGTAGATAAGATCATTAAATAATATACTCATAAAAGGAAATAGTCTACTTCAGGAAAAACAAAACAAAACTGCAACTACTTGCATGAATATAAATTTAAAATATAATAGTAAGTTAAATATGTCACTCATGTAAGAATACTTTTATAATTTCATTTATTTAAATTTTATGAGCAGGTAAAATTCAAGAATATATTGTTTATAGCTGCATATATAGATGGAAAATGAGAAAGCAAAGCAAGGAAATAATTGACAGTGAAGTTAGGCTACTGGTTAATACAGAGTGGGATAGGTAAAGGGACGAGATTGGGAAGAATAATACAGGAAGTGTCTAAGAAAATTTTCTATATTTTTACTTGTCTAAGGGGCACATGGGTGTTTTAAAAATTATTTATATAGTGTTTACATATTTTTATGGATATTTTAGAATTAAGAATAAAAATAGTTTTTGATACTCTTAGCTGTGAATATATTAGAGGTAACTATTCTTCTATAATTTAATTTTAAAGAAGTTCCTGTTATGTGAGCCTTGTTTTCATCAATTATTTGCTCCGCCTACATGCATACACAAAGACAAAAAATCTGTATTTTATTCCTTGTTCCTAAATGCAATTTTCAGTAATTAACAATAGATATAAATTTTACTCTGTCACAAGACTCAATGTAAGCAATTGATTTACCTAATCGATTAAAATCGCATTTTCTCTAGCTAAAGTCATTTGTTCCCCTATATGAGCCCAAGGGAATAAGAATAATAAATTTTGTACTGTAAAAGCAGTGAGGGAGGCATAATATATGTAAAATTTATGGAACCTGGCTTAGAAACTTTGTAGTATACTTGAGGGAAACTTGAATTGACACAGAAAAAGTAGAGTAGCCATACCAAAGAAAGAATATCACAAATCTCAAGAAGCTAAATCCCCTGAGAAACAAGATCAAAAGGAGGTAAGACTCTATTCACTCACTCAAAAGCACATATTATATATCTAGTATATTGAAGGAAATGTGCTAGTTTTAGTGCAAATATATGTGAAGAAAGATATATGATACGTCTCAAGAAGAAGAATGAGAATAAATGACTATTTTCTTCACCCAAAATTAACCCTAAAGAAATTACATGAAGAAACGTAGACTTCAGAAAGTAACATCTTTACTGACAAAAAATTTTCTATGGAAAGAAAGCTTTTTTGAACTAGAGGTTAAATATTCTGGTCCAGTGCAGAATGTTTCTGGGTAAGGGGTGGGACCATAAATTGCAGAAAAACTGTTTAAGATGAATTATTTTTTCTCTCCAATATGCCATGGGACATTTTCCCTTTCAATGTTACTGCAGAAACCTGTTTAATTGCAAAAATTTTTGGAAAAATCACTCACTTTGGGTGAATAATTAGTACTGAATATGCCTTATCCTGCTCTAAACCACCACAGCTTGTACGTTTAAACCCAAGAATAATTCCTTTTCTCTGATGCTGATTCTCTCTAATTGTTTGAAGGTGGGAAGGAGAGGGAAGGAGTATTGGAAGAATAAATCTCAGCACATATAGATCAAAAGCTAAAAATAAGCATAATAAATAATAATTATTATGATAAGAAAATAGAAAATTATTGAAATATAAAACAAAAATGGTCAAGTAGAAATACTTTAATGCAAAATGTAATATTAGAAATAATAAATAAAGTAGATATAGTGAATAGAGAGGCATATGTACCTGAATTAATAGTAAAAGATAAGATCAAGGAACTGTTCTAGAAGGAAACATGGAAGTAAAAATAGTGACAATGTAAAAGATGATAATATTCCCAGAAAGTGAGAAATTGTATTTAAAAATTCACAGGAAGAAATATTTTAATAAATGCAAGGTAAATTTTCTGGAGTTAAAAAATATGAAAGCACTTAATCTTAAAGAGCTCATAAAATGTCAAGAGAGCAAAAGATAATTATAAAAGAGAAGCACATAAAAATTGCAGAACTGTAGAGTATCTTAAATAACATGGCCAGTATGGACAAAACAATGAGTCAATAAACTAGATAAATAGAAATTATGTAATATGCATAAGAAGTGTGAAAAGGTTGAAAAAGTAAATAGAACCTCTGAAATGTGTCAGCCATTATCAATTTGTAAAACATAACTATAATTGGAAACTATGAAGAAAGAAAAGAGATAATGAGCTCAAAGGATTTATTTAAAGAAACAGTGTCTAGGCTAGGCGCTGTGGCTTCCGCCTGTAATCCCAGCACTTTGGGAGGCCAAGGCGGGCAGATTACCTGAGGTCAGGAGTTGGAGACCAGCCTGACCAACATGGAGAAAACTCGTCTCTACTAAAAGTACAAAATTAGCTGGGTGTGGTGGCGCATGCCTGTAATCCCAGCTACTCGGGAGGCTGAGGCAGGAGACTCACTTGAACCCGGGAGGTTGCGGTGAGCCAAGATCGTGCGATTGCACTCCAGCCTGGGCAACAATAGCGAAACTCCATCTCAAAAAAAAAAAAAAAAAAAGGAAAAAAGAAAAGAAAAAAGAAAAAGAAACAGTGTCTAAAACTTTCCTAAATTTGGTAAAAAACAAAGGCAACATACAAATCTGAGTAGTCAGCAAATCTTAAGCAGAATAAAAGAAGAAGAAAACACCTCAACATATCATAGTCAAGTTGATAAAAACAGAGAGACAGAGAGAGAGAGAAAGAGAGAAATGGGTGTCTTGAAAACCTGTCTTTTGAAAATAATGGAGGAAGGAAGACAATGTAATGGTATCTTTAAAGAGATGAAAGATGGAGGTAGAGCAAGATGGCTAAATAGAAGCCTCCGGCAATCATCCTTGCTGTAGGAATACCAACCTGAACAACTATCCACACAAAAAACACCTTCATAAGAACCAATGATCAAGTGAGTAATCACAGTAGCTGGCTTTAATCATATTAAGGAAAGACGTATTGAAGAGAATAGAAGAAACAGTCTTGAATCATTGATACCATACTTGCATGTTCTGTTAGTGGCTGCATGGCACAGAGAGAGACTGTGCACTTGGGAGAGAAAGAGCACAGTGATTGTGGGACTTTGCATTGGAACTCAGTGTGGTTCTGTTATAGTGGAAAGCAAAAGAGGGCAAAACTCAGCCACTGCCCACAGAGGGAGCACTTAGAACAGCCCTTGCCAGAGGAAAATCACCCGTACCAGTGGTCGGGACCTTATCTCCAGTAATCCCCACCACTGCAGGCTAAAGGGCTCTGGGGTCTTAAATAAACATGAAAGGCAGTCCAGGCCACAGGACTAGAATTACTGGGTGAGTACTAGTTCTGTGCTGGGGACACACAACTTAGTGAGTTGCCAGCTAGAGTGGCCAAAGGAGTGCTTGCATTGCTCCTCTCCCAACATCAGGCAGTGCAGCTCACAGCTCTGGAAGAGACCCTTTCCCTCTGTCTGAGGAGAGGAGAATGAAAAGTAAAGAATAATTTGTCTCACAATTTGGATAGCAACTCAGCCACTATAGTATAGGACACAAGGCAGCATCCTAAAGTCTCTAATCTAGGCCCTAGCTCCCAGGCAATATTTGTGGAGACACCCTTGGTCAGAAGGGAACCCCCTGTCTTGAAGGAAAGAACGCAGTCCCGGTGATGGCAGCGGTGGCCCATCTGGAGCGGCCGTTGCCCTTGACGCTGGGTGCAGTTGGGGAGGCGCAGCCAAAGCTGCATGCTCCATGGTGTCAGTGGGAGCCAGGAACAGGAAGAAACCCCGCCCCTGCCAAGTTGGAGGGGCAAGAGCTCCTCCCTTCCAGGCACAGCTGTAGCCACCCAGCCACCTCTGCAAACCTTGGCATCTCTACACTCTCGGCGGCCCGGAAAGCCACCCCTGGCTCAGAAGTGCCTGCTCCCACTGCCTGGCCTCTCCCTGCTCCCAGCACCTGCTCACATTTCAGAGCGAAGTTGTGGCTGTGCTCAGGCACTATCATGACCTGGCTGGGTGTGCATGTGCTCGAGGCAGTGCTGACATGCCAGCTCCCTGCCACCTCAGCCTCCTCCAGACTTTGGGCACTAACAGGCAAGCGAGGGAGGCTGAAGGGAGGCTAAGGGTGGCTTGGCGCAGGCCTGCAGGCAAGCCTGGATGCCATGGGCACCATGGATGGCAGGTTAATTGTGGCAGGAGGCAGACAGGTTCCTGGGCAGAAAGGGGCAGGTCCCCGGCGAAATCCCACCTTCAGGCCAGGGACGGCCTTAGACCTGGAGGCTGGGCTGCCAGTTCCGCTGAGCAGAATGAGAACTTATGGTGCTTTTTCTGGGCCCACTCACAGCCATCCATGGACGAATCAGCACACACTTCCTCCCCTGTGAAGCCCATAAAAACCCCAAACTGCGCCAGACTCAGGCAGATGACCCAATAACCTGCCTACAGAGAGGAGCTACCCACTGTGTGTCTCCTCTCTGCTGAGAGCTGAACTCTTGTCAGGACACCTGCCTGTGGAGAAGAGCTACCCACTGCAGGTCTCCTCGGAGCCGTTCTGTCACTCAGTAAAGCTCCTCTTCACCTTGCTCACCCTCCACTTGTCCATGTACCTCATTTTCTTGGATGTGGGACAAGAACTTGGGACCCGCTGAATGGCAGGGTTGAAAGAGCAGTAACTGACAGGACTGAAACATGCCCCTTGCTCACCATGTTGCGGGCAACAAGAAGGAGAGAAGAGAGAAGGAGAGAAGAAAGAAGGAGAGAAGAGCTGGAGCTCTTTGGGAAGCCCAGACCTAGGAGCTCCCCAAGCCAGAGCTATGTCACTTTCTTTGAGGCTCTGTGGTTCCTGGCATCTCCAAGCTTATGGTCCAGGCACAACAACATTCCCCAGTGCCAGCTGTGGAAGTTGCTTGCGGTACTCCTGGTCCAACTGCAGCCTAGCAGGAAGCCAGTGCCCATGCTGGAACCTGGAGCTGCCCACCCTACCACAGCCAGAGTGCCTGGCTGTGCACAGTTGCCAGACTGCACGCTCACTCACTCATACACCCTTCACCACTCTGTGGTTGGCTTGCCCTTGGCAGGCATGGGATCCAGGCTAGTGGCATGAGCTGAGTACAGCCTTCTTGGCCAAGTAGGTGGAACAAGCCAGCCAGCCCGAGCAAAACTCAGGCAGAGGTACCACTGGCCCAGAGGTTTTTGGCCAGAAAAGCAACACCCCAAGGATCCTGTGACCTTGGCAGGGCACATTACTTGCTGACTAAAAAGCCCTTGGATCACGAATAATCAGCAGTAGTAGCCAGGCAGTACTCACGGTGGGCCTGGGGTGAGAATCAGAGCGGTGCTGGCTTCAGGCGTGACTCAGCACATTCTTAGCTATGGTGCCTATGGGGAGAGACTCCTTCTGCTTGAGAAAAGGAGAAGGAAGAGTAAATGAGGACCTTGTCATGCATCCTGGGTACAACTCGGCCACAGTGAGGTAGATCACCAAGTGGGTTTCCGGGGTCCCCTATTCCAGGCCTTGACTCCTGTATGGCATTTTTACACCCAACCTGGACAACAGGAGAGCCCACTGGCCTGGAGGGAGTGATTCTGGACTGACAACTATAACCACAAGCTGACTTAGGAGCCTTTGGGTCTTAAATAAACATCGGTGCTCTGATGTTCAAAACGGTGACTCTGTTTGGAGGAAACTCAATAAAATTCAAGACAGCATAAACAAGAAATACAGAATCCTATTGGATAAATTTAACAGAGAGATTGAGATAATTAAAAAGATTCAAGCAGAAATTCTGAAGATTAAAAATGCACGTGACATATTGAAATATGCATCAGAGTCTCTTAGCAAGAGAATTGATCAAGCAGAAGAAAGAATTAGTGAGTTTGAAGACAAGCTATTTGAAAACACACAGACAGAGGAGGCAAAAGACAAAAGAATTAAAAAAAATGAAGCATGCCTTCAAGTTCTGGAAAATAGCCACAAAAGGGCAAATCTAAGAACGTTAAAAAGGAGTTATAAAGAGACATAGTGGTAGAAAAATAATTCAAGTAGGTAATAACAGAGAACTGCCCAAACCTAGAGAAATATATCAATATTCAAGTACAAGAAGGTTATAGAAGGATAAGCAAATATAATACAAAAAACACTACCTGAAGGCATGTAATAATCAGACTCCCAAATGTCAAGGAGAAAGAAAGGATTCTAAAAGTAACAAGAGGAAAAAAAAATATACAATGAAGCTTCAATATATCTAGCAGCAGACTTCATGGTGAAAACCTTACAGGCCAGCAGAGAGTGGTATGACATATTTAAAGTGCTAAAGGAGGAAATCTTTTATCCTAGCATAGAATATTCACCAAAATTGTTCTTCAAACATGAAGGAGAAATACTTCCTGAGATGAACAAATGCTAAGGGATTTCAACAACACTAGACCTGTTGTACAAATCAAATCATAGTTACACATTATATCAACAGAGTGAATGATAAAAACCATATGATCATTTCAACTAGTGCTGAAATAGCATTTGATAAAAATTCAACATTTCTTCTTAAAAAAACCCTTATATACTGAGTTTAGGAGGAAGATAACTCAATACAAAAAGGGCCACATATAACAGACTCACAGCTAGTATCATACTAAATGGGCAACAATGAAAGCCTTTTCTCTAAGATCTGGAACAAGACAAGAATGCCCACTTTCACCATTGTTATTTAACATAGTCCTGGAACTCTTCGCTACAGCAATCACATAAGAGAAAGAAATAAAGGGCATCCAAATTGGAAAGGAAGAAGTCAAATTTTTTTTTGTTTGCAGATGATACGATACTATATTTGGAAAACCTAAAGACTCCACCAAAAGAACTATTAGTAATGATTTTAAAAATTCAGTAAAGTTGTAGGATATAAAATCAACATACAAAAATCAGAAGTATTTCTATATGCCAACAGTGAACAATCTGAAAAAATAATCAAGACAGTAATCCCCTTTACAAGAGCTACAAATGAAATTAAGTGCCTAGGAATTAACCAAAGTAGGGCAAGAGCTCTATAATGAAAACTATAAAACATTGGTGCAAGAAATTTTAGAGAACACAAAAAATAATGAAACGATTTCATGCTCATGGACTGGAAAAATAAAAATTGGGCAGTATTTTCCATACTTCCCAAAGCAATCTACAGAGCCAACGTAATCGCTATCAAAATACCAGATATTCTTCACAGAAATAGAATAATCTTAAAATTTATATGGAATCACAATAGACCCAAAATAGCCAAAGCTATCATAAGCAAAAAGAACAAACTGGAAGAATCACATTATCTGACTTAAAATTATATCACAGAGTATAGTAACCAAAACAACATGGTACTGGAATAAAAACAGTTACATAGACCAATGGAACACTACTGAGAATCAAGAAATAATATACTTCTCAGTAACGCAAGAATCAAAGGAAAATTTGAGAAAATGTTAAAAATAGGAAATGTTTTATACTAAATTAGAATGAAAATACAATATATCAAAATTTAGTCTATGAACTAAAGCAACACTTATAAGGGAATGTTTTCAAGAAGTTACAAAAAGATAAGTAAATGAAACAAATAAATGGTAGAAAGAAGGAAATGATAAAATTACGGCAGAAAAGAAGAAAAATTAAAACACAAAAACAAAGGCTTGACAAGCCAAAAGTTAGTTCTTGAAAAGATTAATACAATTGTTGAAACACTACGAATATCAATCACCAACGTCAGGAAGAAAATAAAAGAAATCCTTACAGAAACTACAAACAATAAAATTAAAATAAGTGAATATTATGAATTCCTTTTGTAGGTTAAACTAGTTGAAATTGACAAATTATTATAAAATACACTTAATAAAACAAAGAATAAATGAAAATATGAATAAATCTATTAAATAATGGAACTCATCAAAAACCTTCTATCAGAGAAAACTCCAGTTTCATAGAGTCTCGTTGGTGAATTTTTTCTATTATTTAGGGAATAAGTAATTCCAGTCATACACAACTCTTTCAGAAAATAGAACACACGGTTCAACTTGCTTCATAAGATCAGCCTAACCCTGGTACCTACTGAACAAAGGCTTTATAGTAAACTAAAATGAGAGAGTAACATTTCTCATGGACATAGGCACAGACATTTTCAATAAAATATCAGCAAATTGGATGCACAAAAATATAAATAATAAAGAAGGTACAGTTTATCTTGATAATACAAAATGTTTTAACAATCCAGAATCAGTCAATGCAGTTCACTTAATTAACAAAGTAAAAAAAAAATGATCATTTTCATCAATATGTTGAATAAAAGCATTTAAGAAAATCTAACAGCCTTTCGTGATAAAAATTTCAACAAAATAGGAATGGAAATAACATTCTTTAATATGATAAAGGGCATCTGTAAAATATCCATAGCCATTGCTTTTTTTCTTAAAATTGGAGAAAGGAAGTATAGACATACTACATTTATTTATTTATTTATTTATTTATTTATTTATTTATTTATTTATATGGAGTTTGCTCTTGTTGCCCAGGCTGGAGTGCAATGGCATGATCTCAGCTCACTGCAACCTCCATCTCCCGGGTTCAAGCGATTCTCCTGCCTCAGCCTCCCGATTAGCTGGGATTACAGGCATGCACCATCATGCCCAGTAAAATTTTTTTTGTATTTTTAGTAGAGATGGGGTTTCTCCATACTATGTTTATTTCATATTGTACTGGAGGTTGTTTTGAGAGCATAACGATAAGAAAAAGAAATGAAAGATACAGATTGAAATGAAAAATGTAACACTGCCTTTATTCACAGATGATCAGACATGATTGTACAAAATAAAAACTCTAAAAATGTATAAGACAAATTTTGTATCTAATAAATAACTTCAGCAAAGTCATGAGACACTAGGACATTAAAAAATAAATTGTATTTCTATATAATATTAGTATATAGTACTAGTGTATTGAATCATGTAATCACAAATTTGTACCATCTGAGACCTAAGACTGTGACCTATTTGGAAATCTGGTCTTTGCAGTTAATTGAGTTAGGAGGTGGTTGTACTGTGTTAGGGTGGGCCCTAAATCCAATGACTAATTTACTCATAAGGAAAGGAGAGATCACAGAGACACAGAAAAGTCATGTGAAGATGGAGGCAGAGATTAAACTTACGTTGCTGCAAGCCAAGGAACCCCAGAGGTTTTCAGAAGTTGGAAATACATAACTACTCTATGATCCAATTCCTAAGATACATTAAAACATATGTTCAAAAAGAAAAGACTTCTTCATACCTGTAATCCCAGCACTTTGGGAGGCCTAGGCGGGCAGATCATGAGGCCAGAAGTTCGAGACCATCCTGGTTAACACAGTGCAACTCCATCTCTACTAAAAATACAAAAAATTAGCCAGGCGTGGTGGTAGGCGCCTGTAGTCCCAGCTACTCGGGAGGCTGAGGCAGGAGAATGGCATGAACCCGGGAGGTGGAGCTTGCCGTGAGCCGAGATCATGCCACTGTACTCCAGCCTGCATGACAGAGTGAGACTCCGTCTCAAAAAAAAAAAAAAAGAAAGAAAGAAAGACTTCTGCAGGAAAGTTCACAGAAGCTTTAAACACACACACAAAAGAGCCCCAAACAAAAATGGTGAAAGTGTCCATCAGTGGGATAATGAATTAAAAAGTTGTGATATGAAGTAGTGATAAACCAAACAGTTTGAATTAATCTCAGAAGCCAAATGCTGGCCAAACACAGAGCACATACTATATTATTTCATGTATATGAAATCCTGGTTCGTGCCATATGAATCTACGGGTATAGAAGGAACTGAAAGAAGCTTCCTGTAGAAAAAGTGAGGTTGCCTTTAAAGAGGATTTAAGAACAGTTTCTAGGTTAGGCTGATAAAAAATGTGTGTATATCTTGATTTAGGTGGTAGTTATGAGTGTATGCATGTATCAAAACTTTAAATTGCAATGAACTCCAAACACACATACGCAAACGCTCCAGTTTCTTAAATGAGTCTCTGGCAGCAAATCTTGATACCACATTTCTGTTTCTTCTCTCATTAGTATTTTTAAATGAAAGTTAAAATAAATTGAAATACAATTCTGTTTTCAAGTATACTATTTTAGTGGATCTTATCCTTTTCCTGGTCTAATTGAAGCTTCACACATTTAATGCCTTTCGGGGTGACTGATCCATAATTATGCCCAAAACTTCATGCATTTCAACTGAATGGTGTTACATATTTCTTAATCATTTATCTCCAATTTGTAGTGCTCTTCACAAGGTTCCTTATTATGTCAGTTTACCACACACCCACTTAGCTACATGGCATATTGGACTCCACCTGTGTTGGGTTTGTAGCTTCCTCTACTTCTTTCCTCCCCAGCAATTTTGGCTGATTAGTATTTCCAGTTAGTTCACAGTCACTGCCTTTCTCTAGATCATTTATAAAGATTAAAGTCAGCAGAAATCCAAGGACTAATCTCAGCAGGATGCCAGACAAGTATATTCTCAATATATGTCTTTGTCTATTAACAAGGAAATGAGGTAAAAGAAAATATCGACTTTAGTATATAACTGTTTGCAAAAGAGAATATTGGGTTCAAGGATTGACAAAATAGTCTGTCCAGAATCCATAGCAACAAAGAAACTCCGCTGCTAGAAGCATAGGTTAAAAAGGGAGCCGTTTGAGGAAGATAATTACTAGGCTAGAACACTTAGGCACCTAAAATGAGCAGAGGCATTGTGGTCACCCTGTGAACAAGGGTTTTATTAAAGATATGGTGAGTCAGGCTATCAGAGATAAAGATATTAATGGGGCTGTTAGGCAAATCTGAAGATATCATTGAGGAGCATGCAGAGCAGGTGCAACGAATAGCAGGGCTTGACTGCTACAGGGTCTTTTTGTCCTGCAGCTCGGCACAGAGATGCCTAATATCTCAATACTTTAAAAAAGTAGAAAAAAGGCTATGTATTTGCAACAACTTCTCATATGGCTCTCAGCCTGAATTCTATAGGCACTAATGTATCAGAGCATATCCTGATGTATTACACTCTTTGTTTTACTACTTGTGAAATATACCCCAAATTTACTATTTGTGAATTCCAAACTAGAGGATAAAACTCTTCCTTCTACATTTTATACTCATTTCCAACTGGTCAGATGTGTTTGATTCTTCTCTTACACAGTTCTCAGGTCATCCTCTCCTCACTATTCCCACCACCACTATCTTTGTTGAGAACCTACTCATGAGATTTATTGCAATAAATTCAGCCATTGTTTTTTATACAATGTAACTTAAAAAGTTCCTAGTATTTCCAATGATTATGAAGATAATACTACAGGTAATACTACTTCTACTACTACTGTTACCCTGTGTAATGCTTTCATGACATAGCTGAATTTCTACCCTGCCCTAGTTATGCTTATCTTTAAGAAACAAGAGACCTGTGAAAAAAAGTGTCCTTTGTAACCAGACCAGCTGAGATTGGTTAGAACCATCACAGCCAATCAAATAACTTAAAAAAGACCTCAGGCTTCACTATAATCCCATTTCCATGCTAAATAACATTCCCATCTCTCACCATAACAATGACCAGAAGAAGCCCTAAAAGGACTAAATGAAGGCAGAAGTTCACCACTCATTTCCGGAAAAGACATGACTATTCCTTCTCTCATTTTTAATATTCAATCCCATCACCAGAGAAATCCTATATTTTAACCCCTTACTCCTCATTAGTTGAGTTTATTAGTGAGCCGTTCTCCCCCTTCTCAATTTCATGGCCATGGAATCAATTCTGCACTGCTTGATGCCCACTTTTTGTTTTACATATTAGTTTCATAACACTGAACAGTGAAAGACCCCATTTTCTGGGGAACCAGACTTGTTGGTAACAATACTACTACTACTGTATCCCATTACAAACTTGTCTTTTCCCCAGGGTATGTTGTTGGTACCTTTGACAAAAATGAGTTCACTGTAGATGTATGGATTTATTTCTGTGTTCTCTATTGTGTTCCACTGGTCTATGTGTCTATTTTTATGCCAGTACAATGCTGTTTTGGTTACTATCGCTCTTTAGTATAGTTTTAAGTCAGGTAATGTGCTTTTTACAATTCTGTTCTATTTTTTCTTTTTTAATTTATTTATATTATTTATTTATTTTAAAAATTTTTGTGGGCACATAGTAGGTGTGTATATTTATGGGTACATGAGATGTTTTGATATGGGCATGCAATGTGAAATAACCACATCATGGAGAATGGAGTACCTATGCCCTCAAGCATTTATCCTATGAGTTACAAACAATCCAATAACATTTTTTAAGTTATTTTAAAATATGCAATTAAGTTATTGACTATAGTTATTCTATTGTGGTATCAATAGTAGGTCTTATTCATTCTTTCTAACTTTTTTATTTTCTGTTCATTAACTACCCACACTTTCCCCTCTCAAGTTCCCCACTACCCTTCCCAGCCTCTGGTAACCATCCTTCTACTTTCTATGTCCACAAATTAAATTGTTTTGATATTTAGATCTCACAAATAAGTGAAACATGTGATGCTTGTCTTCCTGTGCCTGGCTTATTTCACTTAATGTAATGATCTCCAGTTCCATCCATATTGTTGCAAATGACTGGATCGCATTCTTTTTTATTGTTAATAGTACTCCATTGTGTATTTGTACCACATTTGCCTTATTTATTCATCTGTTGATGGACACTTACATTGCTTCTAAATATTAGCTATCGTAAACAGTGCTACAACCAATATGGGAGTGCAGGTACATCTTCAGTATACTGGCTTGCTTTCTTTTGGGTATACACCCAGCAATAGGATTGCTGGATCATATGATAGCTGAATTTTAGTTTTCTGAGGAACCTCTAAACTGTTCTCCATAGTGGTTGTGTTAATTTACATGCCCACCATAGTGTTCAAAGCTTCCATTTTTTCCACATTCTCACAGGCCTTTATTGCCTGTCTTTTGGATATAAGCCATTTTAAATGGGGTGAGAGGATATCTCATTGTAGTTTTGATTTACACTTCTCTGATGATCAGTGATGTTGAGCATTCGGATGGAATGTTCTCTATACATCTATTAAGTCTATATGTTATATAGGGCAGACTAAGTGCAATGCTTTTTTGTTGTTTCTGTCTAGATGACCTGTTTAATGCTGAAAGGGAGGTGTTGAAGTCTCCAGCTTTATTTGTATGGAGGTTAATCTCTCTATCTCTAAGAATATTTGCTCTATATAACCAGATTCTATATTTGCTCTATATAACTGGTTTCCATAGATGCAGTTGGGTCCATATGTGTTTACAATCATTATATCCTGTTGTTGGACTGACCCTTTATCATTATTGTCTCCTCTTTAAGTTTTTGTCTTGAAATATATTTTATCTGGTATCAGTTTAACTTCTCTTGCTCTATTTGGATTTCCATTGGCATGAAATATTTTTTCCGTCCCTTTATTTTCAGTCTATGTGTCTTTCTAGGCGAAGTGTGTTCTTGTAGGCAACAGATCATTGGACCATATTATTTTATCCATTGAGCTACTCCATGTCTTTTGATTAGAGAATTTATTTCACTTACATTCAATGTTATTATTAATAAATAATTATTTACTCTTGCTATTTTGTTATTTGTTTCCTGTTTTGTGGTCTCTTTGTCCTTCTTTCCTTCCTTCCAGTTTTCCTTTTAATGAAAGTGATTTTCTGTGGTAGTGTGATTTAATTTCTTTTTATTTTTTGTATATCTGTTGTATGTTTTTTGATTTGAGATTACCAGGAGGCTTGAAAATACTATATTATAACCCATTGTTTTCAGCTTATTATGACATTCTTTGCAAAAGCCAACAAGCAAAACGTAAAAACTCCACACATTAACTTTATTACCGTAGTTTTAAATTTTTTTGTTTCTATCTTATTTTATTGTCTATGTCTTGAAAAGTTGTGGTCATTATTATTTTAGATTGGTTTATCTTTTAGTCTTTCTACTTAGAATAGGTGTAGTTTACACACTACAGTTACAGTATTATGATATTCTGTGTTTTTCTGCATACTTACTATTACCAGTGAGGATTGTACCTTAAATGATTTCTTATTGCTCATTAATGTCATTTGCATTCTGATTGAATTACTTCCTTTGGCTTTTCTGATAGCGCAGGTCTAGTATTTTTGAAACCCCTCAGCTTTTGGTTGTCTGGGAAAGTCTTTATTTCTCATTCATGTTTGAAGGGCATTTTCACTGGATATACTGTTCTAGCATAAAATGTTTGCCTTCAGCACTTTAAATATATTATGCCAGTCTCTCCTGGGGTTTCCACTTAAAAGTCTGCTGCCAGATATATGGGAGCTCCACGGTATGTTATTTGTTTCTTTCCTTTTACTGCTTTTAGGATCCATTATTTATACTTGACTCTTAAGATTATTAAATACCTTGAGCTAGTCTTATTTGGATTAAATTTGCTAGGTGTTCTATAACCCTTTTGTATTTGAATATTGCTATATTTATCTTGGTTTGGGAAGTTCTCAGTTATTATCCCTTTGAATAAACTCTCTACCCCTATCTCTCTCTGTAACTCCTCTTTATGGCAACTCTTAGATTTGCCCTTTTGAGACTATTTTCTAGGTATTTTAGGTGTGCTTCATTGTGTATTATTCTCTTTTTTACTTCATCTCCTCCTAATTCTTTCTTCTGCTTGATTAATTCTATTAAAAGATTCTGGTGGATTCTTCAGTATATCAGTTGCATTTTTCACCTTCAGAATTTCTGCTTGATTCTTTTTAATTACTTCAATGTCTTCGTTAATTTTATATGCTAGAATTCCAGGTTCTTTCTTTGTGTTATATTGAATTCCATTGAGTTTCCTTGAAAGAACTATTTTGAATTCTCTGTCTGAAAGATCACGTATTTCAATTTCTCCAGGATTGGTCCCTGGTGCTTTATTTAGTTCATTTGATGAGTTCATGCTTTCCTAGATGGTTTTATGCTTTTGGTGTTTGATCACTGAAAAGTTAGGTATCTGTGGTAGTCTTTGCAGTCTGGGCTTGTTTCTACCAGTCCTTTTGGGGAAGCCTTTTCAGGCATTCAAAAGGAATTGGCTGTTGTGATCTAAGCTGTATCTACTTTAGAGGACACCCCAAGGGCAATGCTGTGATTCTTCCAGACTCATTGAGGTATACTTTGGTGAACTTGGATTAGATCCAGAAGAATTCTCTGGATTACCAGGTAGAGACTCTTGTTTTCTTATTTTCTCCCAAAACAAAGGAGTCTCTCTCTCTGTTTTGAGCCACCTGGAGCTGTGGGTGGGGTGACACAAGCACTCACAACTTGATTTTTAGATCTCACAAATAAGTGAAACATGTGCTGAGTCAGACATGAAGCCAGCACAGAACTGGGTTTTGCCCAAGGGCTGCAGTGTCCACTACTTGGCCACTGCCTGTGTTTACTGAAGTCCCTCAGGCTCTACAATCAGCAGATGGGGAAGCCAGCCATGCTTGTTTTCTTACTTCAAGGGTGACAAGGCCCCTGACACCTCACATAGGTTTAGAAATGCTGTCCAGGAGCCCCAGTCTGGAGTAAAAAACTTTAGAAATCTACCTGTGTTCTATTATACTGTGGCTGAGTTGGCACTCAAACCATTACATGTAGCCCTTCCAACTACTCCTTCCTCTTTCTGCAGGCAGAGGAGCTTCACCCTGTGGCCACTACCTTCACAGACCCATGAGGTGCACTGCAGCTTACCAATGATATTCACTTCAAGCCCAAGGGCTCTTCAGTGTGTTTTTGGTAAATGCTGCCAGGCCTGGCATTCACCCTTGAGGGTAATGGGCTCCCTTTTGGCCCAGGGAAGGCTCAGTAATGCCATGAAAGAGGCAAGGCCTAGAAGCTGAGACCCCAATAGCCCACTTCATCCTCTACTTTCCTGTGGCTGACCTCATACCTAAGGTGCAAGACAAAGTCTCTCTTACTTCCCCACTGCTTTTCTCAAACAGGAGTCTCTCATTATAGCCACCATAGCTTGGAATGTGCCAGGTCTCACCTGGACCCAAGGCCCACAATGCAATTCCTGGGTACTACTGCTTATTCTGGGCCCAAGGGCTGTCAGCAGGTTATGAGTCCTTCCCTTTAAGGCAGTGGGTTTCATTCTGGCCAAGTGTGTGCCTAGAAATGTCATCCAGGGACTATGGCCAAAATGGGGGCCTCATGACTTTAATTAGGACTGTGTTCTACTGTGGCTGAGCTGATATCCAAGACACAAGACAAAGAAAACACGTTCTGGCCCCACAGCAGCTAGAGGTGGAGGTCTCTGACTCCCAAAGCCCAAGTGAGCATGTGTTACAGTGTGCTTTTTCAGCTTTGCCATCTGCAAACTGTTTGTGCTAATCAGCTCAGTATTCCCTCTGTCTTATCACAAGGGCAGTGGGATAGTGTGATAACCTTCTGTATCCTGAGTTCTTGCCCAGTGTACTGGAAGAATCAGATCAAACATAGGCTGGAAGGATGAGTGCAAGGTTTTACTGAGTAGTGGAGGCAGTTATCAGTGAGATGGATGGGGAGCCAGAAGTGAGGAGATGGAGTGGGAAGATGGTCTTTCCCTGGTGTTGGGTTGCCCAGCGGCCAGACTGTTCTCCAACCACCACTGCCTAAAATCCCCTTGGTGTCCAGACGTCCTTCCTCTTCTCTCTTTGTCTTCTGCGTTGTTCTGTTTTCGCTGGGCTACTGGTTCCAATGTCCAGCTGCTGGTGTGTGCCCGCTAAGGTCTCCAGTTTATATGGCGGCAGGATAGGGTGTGTAGAAGACCAAAAAGCAACTTTTTGGGCACAAAAACAGAAATGCCTGTCCTCAAAAGGGCCGTGGGTCTTCAGGCTTGACAATTGGGCCTTTACTGGGAAACCACCCTCTTCTACCCAGTATTTCCCTGTCTCCTGTTCATGTCACTGCTACCATGATTTTCAGGCAAGAAAGCATATAATTGCAAAGTGAATACAGGCTTCAGTTTTTCCTGGCTGAATATTTAGGGACACAGGAGGAATTGGCATCCTCAACTTAGTGCCATGCAGGTACAATTTTGAAACCTAATTTCTTCCAGAATTATGCTTCCTTCTGGGGTAGCTGCTTTCCCTGAGGTCAGAATGCTTATTAATATTTTCTGTCATTACTGCTGTACTTGTCTCTGCCATCCTTCCTTATAGCCAGTTTGCCCCTGTTTGGAACTTCATGAAATCAAGAGCAGAGAGTTTCCATGGAGAGTACATATGCTATGATCCCTTTCCCTGTCATTTATTATTTGACTTTTAAAGACTGATTCAAAATACAGTTATTTCAGGTTGCTCCTTCATTCTAAGGCATGAAAATTCAGGCTCCTTTGGCTCTGGGGACTTATTTCATAGATGTCAAAATGTTTATGGTTATTGTCATTAATGTCAAAATCTGTGAGTACATTTAGAGCTTCCTGAGAAAAAGAAAATTAAAAATATTGAAGTGACTGTAAATAATTATTTAATATTATCCAAGCACACAATTTTGAAAAATATATCACAAAACCCCTGCAATTCCAATAATAATACATTTATGGAATTAATTGTTTCTTGGATATTTAATATCTTTCTTTATAAATTAAAAATAATAATGTAATCCTGAAGCTATTTGAAAAGATGCTTATATCTGTACACTATATTTATAGTTTTACCACTTTGTTTATAGTCTAGCCACCAGTTTACTCATTTCTAATAAACTATATATTTTATTATTTCTCAGAGGGATGAATGTAAATTTGGATAGGTAATTCATAGATTTGTGGAAAATCAATTCATATGTATATAATGAGAATGTTATGCATTATACAGAAATATAATTTGAAGGAGTAAAATAATCCAATAGATATTCACCTTCCAGTTATTAAATGCAATCATATTTAATAGTCCATTTATTTCAACCTAAGGATAATGCTAAGCTATGAATTAGTTATAAACTGAATGTCTTAAAAGCAAATGTCCAATGCTTTTGTGATTTTTTTCAAAGCCCAATAAGCATACAAGTTAAAATATTATTTCAAGTTGAATATATATATAGATATGACATATCTATATAAATACACATATGACTTAGGATGTGTTTGTATATAGTTAACTGATAACATCCATAATTGATAACTGATAAGGATGTTGGGAAAGTGAAAACATTTTATACTTCTGTTTGGAGTACAATTTGGCACAAACTTTATAAGTAGCAAATTTTTGTACATAGCATTTAATACATAGCAAAAACCAAAATGACTTAATACCTTTGTATTCAGCAATTATGCTTCTGTTATTTATAATACACCATATGTACAGGGTTTAATAGATAAACTTGTTCCTTAAGAATAGATATTAAAGGTGAAAAAAATACAAACAGTAGAGAAGTGTTTAGAAATAATAAAATTCCATTCCATTTACCTGATGTCTCCCTGTTGTAAACCCCTGAGATAAACACTATTTATATTTTCTTAAGTTATCATCTGGAACTGCTTTATGTGAATGTGTGCACACACACATATATACTAACCTTTAAATATAAACATGATCATTCTATACATACTATTATATTAAGGCTTTTATCTTATTTATTCTTTAGAAATATTTTCATCGTTTCCTGCATATGAAAATACCATAATTTATGCAACCAATTCACTATTGATGGGCACTTAGGTCATTACAGCTTTCTGCAATAAACATACTGCAATAAATATCTCTATGTATGGATCATAGGGTGCTTTATAGGTAGAAACTTTCAATACCTTCCCAGGAATAAAATTTCTGCGACAAGGGGTATATGGTTTTAAGATGTCAATAATTACCATTAAATTTCCTTCAAAGACTTACACCACTTTTCAATGTCATCAGCAGTGAATAGAAATACCTATTTTCCAAGCACTTGCAAGTTTTTTGCTATTGCCAAACTTTTCAATCTTTGCCAGTCTAAGAGAAACAGCCAACTATGTGGAAACAGGAGCTTTGTAAGTGTACATTTGAAGTAGAAGCTGAAGATTCTTGGCCTGTGGGAAAAAAATGAACTATTTTCAGTGTGATTCAAGTATCATGAATTATGAGAGACTGATAGGAGATGGGGTCAGAGAAATTTGGCAAGGGACGGATCACATGGGGGCCTTACTGACTGTAGTAATGAGATAAAATGTTATTATGAATACATCATCAGCACATTAAATAATCTAATATTAAGTTTTGGAAAGATCCTTCAGCTGCCATATAGGGAGTAGACTGTAGTGATGAAATAATAGAAATAGGTATAGATAGAGGTTGTTAAAAAAATCAAGATGTATAAGTTTAGAAAAGGAGAAGAGATTTTATTTCTTATAAAGGGTTATGGCCTGCAAGGCGGCCACCTGCAGGCCTGGGAGCATGCCTCAGGCCAAGACCAGAAACAGACACTTCTAAAGAGGAGGGATTGGGGTAAAAGCTTGCTTTATGCAGAACAGGTTAGCTAAACATATATATTCAACAGGTTACAGGAGAAGCTATGAATATTGATGGAGGTGGTCCTGACAGATGCAGACTGAAGAAAAACACACAAAACATATGACCCATGTTCACTTTGGGGTGGAGACTTAACATTTAAATGTATTATAATTGGGGTTTATATCTTAAATGGTCTTTTCAGGACATGAAGGCACGCAAATGCACAATCTCTGAACTGGCCAGAAACAGTCCATGGTCTGTGGTCTTCTTATCAGGGGAAAGTTACTGAAATTAGTCTCTTGTCCAGTGAAAAGTGTAGTTATGGCTGGTGAAACAGGGGTGCAGTTAGTCCACAGCTGGTGGAGCTGAAAATTATTTTAATATTTTTTTTTCTTTTTATTTATTTATTTATTTTTTATTATACTTTAAGTTTTAGGGTACATGTGCACATTGTGCAGGTTAGTTACATATGTATACATGTGCCATGCTGGTGCGCTGCACCCACTAACTCGTCATCTAGCATTAGGTATATCTCCCAGTGCTATCCCTCCCCCTCCCCCCACCCCACAACAGTCCCCAGAGTGTGATTTTCCCCTTCCTGTGTCCATGTGATCTCATTGTTCATTTCCCACCTATGAGTGAGAATATGCGGTGTTTGGTTTTTTGTTCTTGCAATAGTTTACTGAGAATGATGATTTCCAATTTCATCCATGTCCCTACAAAGGACATGAACTCATCATTTTTTATGGCTGCATAGTATTCCATGGTGTATATGTGCCACATTTTCTTAATCCAGTCTATCATTGTTGGACATTTGGGTTGGTTCCAAGTCTTTGCTATTGTGAATAATGCCGCAATAAACATACATGTGCATGTGTCTTTATAGCAGCATGATTTATAGTCCTTTGGGTATATACCCAGTAATGGGATGGCTGGGTCAAATGGTATTTCTAGTTCTAGATCCCTGAGGAATCACCACACTGACAGAGTTAAACGTTAGACCTAAAACCATAAAAACCCTAGAAGAAAACCTAGGCATTACCATTCAGGACATAGGCATGGGCAAGGACTTCATGTCCAAAACACCAAAAGCAATGGCAACAAAAGCCAAAATTGACAAATGGGATCTAATTAAACTAAAGAGCTTCTGCACAGCAAAAGAAACTACCATCAGAGTGAACAGGCAACCTACAAAATGGGAGAAAATTTTCGCAACCTACTCATCTGACAAAGGGCTAATATCCAGAATCTACAATGAACTCAAACAAATTTACAAGAAAAAAACATTAATATTGTTTATATCAAGGGCAATGCATGTTTAGGAGCTAGAGAAAAACAAAAACAAAAAAACCCTTTTGGGAGTTATAGTTTATTCTTTAAGTGTAGAATGCATGACTTAACCCTTGCCTGGCAAGGCCATAGGTCCTTTTTAAAACTTGGTATCTTATTGCCACAAAGAGTCTATTCTGTCAGTCTTATCTCTGTTTTAACATTTATTTTAAATTGATAAGGTGCACATGTGAGAATAGGTGAAGGTACAGGTATAAAATAGGTATAAAAAGTTTCTACCATATTTACAATCTCTATATTTTTATTTTACTAAGAATTTTAAAACTCAGGAATAAATTTGATTTTATTAAATTACTTTTTCTTGGCTGGGCACGATGGCTCATGCCTATAATCCCAGCACTTTGGGAAGCCAAGGTGGGCAGATCACTTGAGGTCAGAAGTTGAAGACCAGCCTGGCCAACATGGTGAAATCCCGCCTCTACTAAAATACAAAAATTAGCCAGGCGTGGTGACATGTGCCTGTCATCCCAGCTACTCAGGAGGCTGAGTCAGTAGAATCACTTGAACTTGGGAGGTGGAGGTTGCACTGAGCTGAGTTTGCATCACTACACTCCAGCCTTGGCAACAGAGCGAGAATCCATCTCAAAACAACAACAACAACAACAAAAGTATTTTTGTATATATGAGATATTCTTAATGTTTTATCCCTTTACTCTAATTTATTTTAAATTGTAAGATGTGCTTACTTACTAGTGGAGCATCTGTGTTTGTTGATATAAATCCATTTTTCTAAATTCTAATTAATTAACTAATTAATTAAAGTTTTGTGATTGATAAGTCTTGTGTTTCCTTTTTTTCTTGTTCTAGGAATTTCTCCTAGGAATTTCATCAGTCTGTGTTCTTACTTTTAATTTTTAATTTTGCTAGTTACGGTTTTAAATAGTTTTATGTGACAATTTAAAATAGTATTTTTGAATCTGTGTTTCTGAACACCAAATTTTGTAATGTTTTCTTTTCAGAGCATGATTTGCAAGAGGAACTGCTACACATTTTACACTTATTTACTCCAACCTTTCCTGCTAATTCCAGGTTTATTGGTAAGCACTGGGGCCTGTTCCAAGATAGCTGCATATATATTTTTCACAGCATAACTTTTAATTCCACATTCACAATATTTACATTTTGTTTTTTATAAATGTATAATGTAAAAAATTTCTAAATGTTACCTATAAGGTAAATCCTCAAGGGTAACATTATTATAAAATACGTAGTATTTAGAAAGTTTTAAAAACCTATATTGCATGTGTGTATATTTTATAAGGTTATAAAATTGTTTAAAAATTATTATATGTTGTTTGAGTTGATATACTATATTTGGATATAGTATAATCGTTTAAACTGCTACATTATAGTCAATGATGAATAGGTTATATTTCATTTAGTTTTTTCTATTAATGGATTATTTTTAGTCTATTTAATTTGGTTCCTAGATTAATATCTATGTTGTGTCTTCTCTTAAAATTTCATATTTCCAAAATGCTGTCCAAAATATCTGTCAATAATATAGATGGATAAAAAATATTCATTTTTAGAAACTTAAAAAGTGTGATTAACCAATTTACATTTATTTTTATTGTTGTTCTTATTCTAGAATTTGACTTCATATTTTTGACAGGCATTCTTACCCTTATATTTTCTTGAGAAAGTTAATTTCTAGGAATTACATTTATCTTCATGTAACTGAATCCAAAGTTAACATCAATATAAGTAAAAAGTTGTGTTTATTGAATGGCATAGCTTTTCTTGTAATCACCTAGAACTCAGACTCTTAGAACTCAAGAGTTCCACTCTACTAATTAAATGATTCATTGTCTTGGTGTCAAGATGGCAATCCAAGTTCAGACTAGAATCATATTCCAGAAGAAATTAGAGAAGGGCAAGGGACAAAACACATGCATCCCCGGCATTTGTCATTCTCCTTAATCAGAGAAACAGTAGCTTTTCTAGTAACTCCATCCGGAAGACTTCCAATTGTGTCTCATTGGCCATAACTGCCAGTGATAATACAGCATTCTTTTTGTTTCCTTCTTATGGAGACAGTCTCACTATGTTGTTCAGGCTTGTCTCAAACTCCCAGGCTCAAGCAATCCTTCCGCCTCTTTCTTCCAAAGTGTTGGGATTACAAGTATGAACTATCACATCTGGCATACATCATTACATCATTCTTTAACCTGGTTATTTTTTATTTTTATTTATTTATTTATTTTTTTGAGACGGAGTCTCGCTGTGTCTCCCAGGCTGGAGTGCAGTGGCGGGATCTCGTCTCACTGCAAGCTCCGCCTCCCGGGTTCACTCCATTTTCCTGCCTCAGCCTCCAGAGTAGGTGGGACTACAGGCACCCGCCACCAGGCCCGGCTAATTGTTTTTTGTATTTTTTTTAGTAGAGACGGGATTTCACCGTGTTAGCCAGGATGGTCTCGATTTTCTGATCTCGTGATCCGCCCGCCTCGGCCTTCCAAAGTGCTGGGATTACAGGCATGAGCCACCGCGCCGGCCTCTTTAACCTGGTTATTTAAGCAATAGTCCCTATGGTAGTGTAGTGGCAGTCTATGCAATGTGGTGATTTTCTGAGTGTTTTCTATAAAGACATCGTTAATTTTCTAGCCCAAGATACAAGATGGTTATGTATTTATTTTTATATTTTTCAATATTATTTCCTATTGTTTGATTTGAGGGATCTTAGCAAATACTTAGGCTATAATTTTGAACTTAATTTACATAGTATTTAAATTCTCACAATTTTAATCTTACATGTACATTTTGATAATTAAATTCCTCACCATAATTATTTTACTGAGTGGCTTCTTCTATCGTACATATTGCTAGGAATATCTAAGAAATGCTCCATTTCAATCTGAAATTTAATTGTTTTAGCCATTTAAGAAAACTGTTCTATTATATTTTTCTGACTTACGCATTTTTTTTTTCTATTGGGAGGCATTAATTAGAAATTTGAGTCTTTTAAAATTTAATTTCTTTATTTTTTTTTCTTTGCACTTTTTGGAATTTTTAAATGAATATTTTTCATGGCACTGATTTGGTATTCAATTGTATCTATTCTGTTAATTATTTTTTCCAACTTATACATTAGTTAGTTGTATAAAGTCCCAATGTGTTATCATAGATCAAAAATTCTCTTTTCATTTTATTCTGCTGTCTTAACATATTTCTCTAATTTTGTCAAAAGTTTGAAGAATTTCTTCTGTAAAAAGTTATTGTTTCTGGTAGTACACCTTCTAAAATGTCTTTTATATCCTTTCCTCCTTTTTTCTTCCTTTCTTTGCTTCTTTCATTCCTTTCTTCCCACCCTGTCTCCCTCCCTGCCCCTCCCCTGCCCTCCCCTCATCTCTCCTCCCCTCCCCTCCCCTCTCCTCCCCTCCCCTCCCCTCCCCTCCCCTCCCCTCCCCTCTCCTCCCCTCTCCTGTCCTCCCCTCCCCTCCCCTCCCCTCCCCTCCCCTCCCCTCTCCTCCCCTCTCCTGTCCTCCCCTCCCCTTTCCTCTCCTCCCCTCCCCTCCCCTTCCCTCTCCTACCCTCTCCTTTCCTTTCCTTTCCTTCATTTGTTTCTAAGATAAAATTTTGGTAGTCTTTTGTCACAGTCCTTTTTATTTTCCTTACAAACTACTCATTTTCTAAAAAGACAAGTCTTTGGGCCACGTTTTAGCTCAGTTAAAGGATTAGTAGCTTCTGTTTTCTTATGTGAACCTTTTGCAAGACTTCTTAGATTTATAGTTTGATGACTGGCTGTTAATTTCTTTTATACTCTATTTTTATAAATTACTGAAAAGTTAAGGTAAATTGCCTTTATGGAGGTTGTGGGGCATTACAGTGGATGGATCTGGTTTCCCCTCTTTCATTTATACAATTTTGTTAAACATGCCTCACCAGAGTTACTACTCTGGGTCAGAGAGTGCCCTCTTCTGTTTGAATTGCTCTTCTTTTCTAGATACTCTCCCACCTCATTTCTAAGAGTAGAAATAAGTTTTTGTGTTTCTGAAACAACTAATCATCTTAGGTGCTTATTTAGTATATGCTTTCAGACCTCCGTCCTTCCAAAAAAAAGGTGAAGTATGAATATTAGCCATATAATTTCTTATTTGCAATATGGCAAGAAGATTTTATGTGGTTCTTTCAACCACCCAATCTTCGCTGGAGACTTCTGGAAATTTGACCATGCACCATTTCCTTCTCTTTAATATCCCCTTCTACATATTCTAATTCTAGATGTATGGAGTGAAAACAACAAATTGACTTTAAAATTTTTTCTAATTTAGGGATGACTTTCTAATATGAGAAAATGTCTCAATAATTTGATTAATGCCAGTGTATATTTCTGCCACTTCAAATTATATTTTTAGTATAGATAGATTAGTTGGGAGAGAGGTTTTATTATCCTGCTTCTCCAGGACTACTTTAAAGTAACAGAACCATTTATAACAACAAAAAATGAACACTTGGAACAAGTATGTAGATTATGTTATTCTTCCCCTTGATGCTACATTGGCAACTCTTAAAATGCATTGAAGGAATATTTACATTCTTGTGAAAATTATCCTAAGATTCTAAACAAAAAATAAAATTAAAATAATATGTGATTATTTAAAAGTATATATATATATATATATATATATACACACACACACACTCACATACATACATATATGGAAAGAGTTGTACTATAAGAATTGGTTAAGTAATCTCATATTACATTTACAAATGATGTTACACTTCTTTAATGTGATTTTCAGAATGTTTCAATTTTTAAAATAATAAGTATGTCATATGTTCTTTAAAGTACAGTCTGTAAGTTCTAGGAAAAAGACACACAGGAGAGAAAAATTAAAATTTCATAAACCAGTTTGGATAAGCACAATTTAATTCCCAGAATCAAGGAATAAAAAACTATGCTGATTTCATTATTGTATAATTCTGTTTCTTTGGATTACAATTTCAAATTCAAACAATGGTTGAAATTGTTTTTATAAATATAACTAATTCATGGAAAGAAAAAACTCATCTTCCTTTAAAATACTTTGGTGCAGACTTTGTGGTAAACAGCAGGGTTTATGAATTGCTAATAATTACTCAGAAAGTTATCTCTCCCTATTTTTAAAAAGAAAGGTTAGAATATACAATGTGTAACATTTTTTAGTCTGTAAACTTGTCATTGTAATGGTATCTGTCACAGAAGCTTGTTGAGAGGTTAAGTTAGTAAATGTTAGCGCTAGTTTTATTAGTTTGTAGAGATGAATAATTAATGAAATAACATCAGAAAATCAATAATTTAATAAAATACTTAAAGCAATGACAATAATAAAAGTACCAGAGCTCATAAGTAAAATAATTTAGAAAATCAAATTTCATATAGTGTGAAAAAATAAATCTGATTAAACATTAATTTTTCTAAGAAAATCTTTTACATTTCTCTACACATAGTCTTAATATTGTCATTTGGGGTAAAATTTAATATACAACTAAAATACATTTAATATCTTACCTTCTTCAAATACATGAAGATTTATAAAACTGAAAGAGCAAACATCTTTATCTTCCTCTTTGGTAAAATGCCTATAGCAATTTATTTCTTAGAGAAGCATAAGAACTTCCAGCAAATTAACAAATCAAATACAAGTGCCACTCAGGACTTTACTAAATAATTTGTCTTACAGTTTTTAGGGGTAGCTTTCACGTAAAATTCTTCAGTAGCTGATACTCAGCACCTACAAGTTTCCACGCACCCCAAGTGCCTAGCTTTCTAAGTTAATTTTAGCTTTGAATGTATATTTGAATTTGCTTTCAATTCCTGAGATTCCATGTTATTCTCACCAAGCAATGCTTTGATGCTTTATCACATGTCATTTTCTCTGCCTGAAAAAGTATTTCATCCTCTTTGATCCTGTCCCATTACTAGCCACTCAGAAAATTTATATTCCATCAGGGATCACTTTTCTACTATTTCCCATTGCACTTTTTATGTATCTTCTTCATGGCAAGAATGCTGCTTCTGTATTTTGTATGTACATATGTTTTTCCACTTGACGATTAGTTACTTGAGTAAAGGACACGACCACATTTGAATAGTTTTACATTTTATTTTTTAAACTAGCCAAACTCGTCCATATTTCAGGAGCTCCTGGCAAAGACAGCTAGTAACCTAGTGAACATCTATTATCTTTGCTAGACTACAAATACTACTTTGACCCGTTACTGCTAGAAATAAAGGCTAAATTTTCAATCTTATTTGCGCTAGATGTGGTCAAATAAACATTAAGTATTGGGAGGGAATTCTGGGAAGGTTCTTTAAAGGGATCTTAGTCAACTGGAAGGAGCACCATTTTTACTCTTCTGCCCTGCTTAAAAATTAAACTGTTATGTCAGATGTGATGACCAGAGCCTTAGCCATTATCCTGACTTTGAGAATGGATGCCACATTGTAAGACGGTGAGGCACCCTGTTAGATCAAAGAGCCAGATCCACAATACCATAAAGCTAATGTAGCAAACTGGAGAGGGCTACTTTACATGAGACATTAAATATTTGAATATTAAGGCCATTATATTTTGGTACTCTGTTACTCTGTCAAATGCAATCTCTACCTTACACAGAGCTAAGTTAAAAACCAAAAGAAACAGAAATGTTAAATATAACATTCATTATTTTGTGGGCAAGATAAAAGAAAAAGGCATTGTAACAGTAAAGGCACTTTTAGTACTTACTCATCACCTGGTTTTTTGAAAATACAATAAAAATTTAACAAAATAACCATAAAAGTATTTTAACATGGCAACATTATGATTCATGTGCTGTCATTTGACAATGTGGACTTTGGACTTTTAGATATGATCTCCTTTGGCTTTCAGAAGACTATCATCACTAGCAACAACTTCTATTTTTGTTACTTTTTCTTAGTATTTTTTGTATTCTCTTCCTCCATATGCCTTCAAATGTCATTATCCATTAGAGTTTTATTTCTGACCTTTTCTCTGCTCATTTGTTATACTCTTCCTAGGTGTGCTCTTCAGCTGACAGAATATCAAGTGCTAAATTTATGGACTTATGGGTCAAGACCTAAACCCACATTTGTAACTCTTTAATGAATATCTCCGTTCTTATGTCTCGTAGGACCTTGCAGAATCACCAGGTGTAAAGGACTTGTTTATTTCTACTTTCATTCTCTGTCCCAGCTCTCTTAGTCACTCCTCCTGTAGTTTCCTCTATCTTGACTATTTGTACCACTGTCCTTCTCTAAATTAGAATCTTCATCTCCAATTTCTTTCTCCCATCCATGACTATCAGTCACTAATGATGACCTCAGAAATGGAGGCTGGATTCATTATTTCCTCCCTATCTAATGGGCTTTGGTATTCGATTACTCATCACTGCAGCAGCCTCATAACTTCCTGACACATATTTCTCATTCTCCTGGCTAATTCCCCACTCATAACTCATGACGCCACTGCTAATTGTTTTCAAAAATATACCAAAAAAATTGAAATTTGATCCTGTTTATTGGTTCCTCATTGTCTACAAGCCACTGTTCCGATTCTTTGTCACAGAAAGTCTACCACAATCTATCTTCAGCTATAGGTTCTATGCCCCAGCCTATCTGAACTTCCTCAATACTCTATGACCTTTCATTCCTTTCTGGACTGTGCTCTTGCCTCTGTCTAAAAGATTCTTTTTTTAAATTTTCTTTTAAATTTCTTTTTGATCACTTTAGTAATTCCAAATTCATATTAAAATTTGCTTTCTTTGCAAAGCCTTAGTCAGTTCTCCAAGAAAGTTAGTGATTTTGTTATATATGATATTATAAACTCTAAAACAGCACTTACTTCCCTATAGAATACACCTTATAAACTATGACTTTACCAATTTGGCTCCCATACTGTACTTGAGACTCTTGAGGGCATGGGCATCTTAAAAAGTATTATTCCTTATAATTCCCTAAGATTTAAAAGAAGATGCTCAACATGTAAAAAGATAATCTTTTCTATACAGGGGATACGATATAAGTGAAAAACATGGCCAGTCTAAAGATTTACAAGACACGCACTCAGCAGTGGTGTACAAGGATATAAATTGTCTTTAAAGCTTATTTTAGCAGGTTTTTGCTGGTCAACTAGGATATGCCAAGAACACGTTAGTAAAGATGTACTGCAACTTTTAAACAGATCTGTAGAGACTACCTAGAACCTTTATTAAAGCAAACTCATTCGGCTTATCTCAGTTTAATGACTACATGACTTAGCTTACTGCTCTTAAAACAAACACATCAAAGAAAATTTTACCTATAGGTCAAATTTCCATGATTAGTGCAACATTTTACTGTCCATAAAATTTAAAATGTGTCTTTTCATCTTAAGTTTTAAAGTTTGAAGAGGCTAATCTGTGACTTTCACTTTTATCTGCACTGATTGTATTACTCCTGAAAAAGACTACATTTTTAGCTTTGAAGTCTAGAGTCCTGATTTAGCCAAAGAAGAGGATAAGAGAAACAGCATTTGTGGGGTTTTCATTTACAGAACAACCTGACCTGATTTTGAAGCTGAGTTAGTGGGAGAAGATATTTTTCAATCTCTGTTAATACATACCATTTGTATGACTAGCCATTGTCCCCCTAAAAATGAAACTGACAAAAATTTTCCAAAGATTAATAGCAGTCATCCACACTTATCTTCTCAATCAAACCAAGCATCTGAGATAGATTCTTTTTTAAAAAAACCACCATTAGCAAGCCTTTATCTCCCACTTCTCAAATCAGTCACTTCTCTATAAAATAAAATGATTTCCTCAACAACAACCCCTGACATTCCTTCTTTAAAGAAAGTTTGTGACATTAAAATGAATTCAAGTAAGGAATCAAAATGGGCTATAATATTCCTTCAAATATGAAAATATACTAGCTTTTGAGCTAGATAATAAGATCTTTCCAGGAAACATTGCATTTTACAAGTAGATAGATACCTTTGGTCCTTAATAGTTGCCTTTACTACATAAAGGTTTTCTATTTCTCTTTTTAAAAAAGTACTACTATATATACACATCCTTACAATAGTAGATGAGAAGCAAAACAATCATGTATCTAACAGCTGTTCATAATATGTAATATCACAGATTTCTGCTCCATAAATTGAAAAAATAAAATTATTCAAATGTTTGAAAAACATAATACAACAGTTGCAATACCCAGTCCTAATTATAATTCTCATTTATGAATTATATCTTAGTAATATTTTCTTTTGATTATGTAATAGTGTGTACTATGAGTGTCAAGACAATCTTCAGCTGCATGTTTTAAGAATTAGCATTTTAGAAAAACATCTATAGTTTTAGTTTAGAAATTGTACTTACATGTACAAGCATATAAATGATAATGTTCAGCAAATGCAAAAAAATACCATAATGTATATGGTTATATCTTAATTTTATATTTTATTTTTACTAATATAAAATTATACTTTTTTGCTTTAAATATTTTGAATTGCATTTTGTCTTATATGAATACTGTGAGTCTTCCTTAATAAATAAAACTTTACATCATAATGGACTAAATATACAAATCAACAATGATCCAACCGTAATAAAAATACAATTCTGACCCATGACTTGAAGCAACCAGCTCAGTAGACAAAGCACTATCCACAGCAACCAGTCCAGGAAGCCAAAAATAAATCCCTGTAGCAACTGGCCAGGGCTTGATTCATGCCTAGTGTTCCATTGGAACACTAAGCATGTGGGAGTTATTTATATCTTACTGCTCAAGGTCATCGCCAAGGTCTGATTTTTCACTCATGCAAAAAAATAAAAAAAATTGCAACCTCCGGGATAAATGGGTTAATAATTGACAGCTTTCCTAAACTTTATGTCAGCTTTCAACTTAGGACCAGCTGGAGAAAGCTAAATATGCTTCCTTAAACAATCACATATAATATCTTGATTCTAGTTAGCTAGCCTACAGCTTTTTTATGGCAATAGCCTCCAATCAGGGCATGCCTGAAGTCTTTTCTTCTTTTCTACTATGAAGTTTTCATGCTGCTCTGTCTGCATTTGAGTCTCTGCTAAATGTAACTGATGATGGCTGACTCCCTTGCTATAGCAAGGTCATTTGAGTCATCTTCAGTTATTCCTATAAGACCACTACAAAGCCATATTTCCCACTCTGCTTCACTGGTGTAAATAACTACTGTAATAAATTCACTGGTTGTCTTTTTCATAATGTTTTTTGTAATTTTCAATAAAATTGGTGTATTTGTGAATATTATTAATATGCTTGGCAGGATTTTAAAATTCATGTATTTGCTGGGCATGGTGGCTCATGCCTGTAATCCCACCACTTTGGCAGGCTGAAGCAGGAGGATTACTTGAGGCCAGTAGTTCAAGACCATCTTAAGCAACATAGCAAGACTCTGTCTTTACAAAAAAATTAAAAAAAAAAAATTAGCCTGTAATCCCAGCACTTTGGGAGGCCGAGGCGGGCGGATCACGAGGTCAGGAGATCGAGACCATCCCGGCTAAAACGGTGAAACCCCGTCTCTACTAAAAATACAAAAAATTAGCCGGGCGTAGTGGCGGGCGCCTGTAGTCCCAGCTACTTGGGAGGCTGAGGCAGGAGAATGGCGTGAACCCGGGAGGCGGAGCTTGCAGTGAGCCGAGATCCCGCCACTGCACTCCAGCCTGGGCGACAGAGCGAGACTCCGTCTCAAAAAAAAAAAAAAAAAAAAAAAAAAAAATTAGCCAGGCTCAGTGACTTGTGCCTGTAGTCCTAACTACTTGGGAGCCAGAGGCAGTAGGATTACTTGGGCCCAGGAGTTTGAGTGAGCACCCCAGCCTGGACAATACAGCAAGACCCTATCTCAAAAAAAATTCTTATATTTACTATCATACAATTATCTTTCTTAAACATTTTTTCAGTCCCTGTTATGATTTTGCAAGCTCTCCATATTGGTAAATGTAGTTGATTTTAACTACAGTATAATATTCAATGCTATGAATGTATAATGTCCAGTATTCTATTGATGGACATTTAGATTTTTTCCCACTTTTTGAATGAATATCTTTGTATATTCTTCCACATTTCTTTTAGCTCTTATTTTGCATGTGTAAAAATTTCTCTAATGTTCATACTTACAAGTGGAATTGCTGGAATTAGAATATGGGCCTTTTCACCTTAATGTAATCTTGTAAAATTACCCTCAAGGTAATTGTATCTACTTACTCTAAAATCAACTGAGTAATTTATTTATATCCTTGGACTTTTAAAATTTTTCAAATCTTTAGATTGATAAATTATATGCCACTGTCCTATTAATTTATGTTTTCCTAAGGAGATTGAGCTTTTTTCCTTGTGCTTAGTGGTAATTCACACTTTCTCTGGAAGAACTTATTTGACCATTTTCTTTTTGCATCATTTATCATTTTCTTATTGTCTGTCAAAGAAAAATTGCACCAGACAAGTTAAAGAGGCAAGGAAGATTTTATTTAAGAATATTGCAATAAGGGAGAGAGATGAAATTCAAATCTGCTGAACCAAAATGAAGGAGAAATTTAAGCACAGAGATGAGTTAGTGGAAAGTACAGGGGGAAATTAGGGGAAGGTTGGTCAATGTGATTAGGCCATCAGTGTTTGCTAACTGGTACATAACAAAGTTAGACTTCAACACAGAGACTGGGGGATAGGAGGGTACTATCTCCTTTGATGATCACATTTCAAAAGATAGCTCCCAGGTTCTTTAGAAAATTTCTTGTGTGTAAAGCTTGCAAGAAGCTAGAAGAAGATTTACATCTCAAAGAGGCTAGAAATAATTTACAGTTGCAAGTTTTCTAAAGTAAATCCTCAAAGAAAAGGGAAGTCCAGGAGCCTATAGTTGGGAAGAAATCTGTCTGAAGTTTTATCAAGCTGAGGGAAAAATTAAGGCTGGCTATCTTGGTCACAATTTAGAAGAGTTTTAAAATCCTATTTAAAAATCCTTTTCTGGTTAATCTTTAATGTTTTTATGTTGTCCTTTATATTATAGGTGATTCAAGTTTTAATGCATCAGATTTGTCAACATTTTTCTTGATGTTTGTGCTTCTTGATAATTTAATAGTAGACATTTCTTACGTAGTTTCACCTTGGGAAGGATTTGAGGTTTACACAAATTGTAGTCATGGGAGGTAAATTTAAAAAATATATACAATATTCTTGTTCCTGGATTTTTAACTAATACATACTTTTGTGTTTCCAAGTGGCTTATGTGATCGATTTGTATACAATAAATATACATCTAGTTTGGTTTACCTTTACACCTGATGGGTCTGTTTACATGGGAGGAAACTCTAAAAAATGTATTACTCTCATTTGGGGTGATTATTTTATAATTTGATAACAATGGTGACATCTTGCTCTCTTAATTGCTCTCCTGGCTTCTTTCTGATACCAAAGGCTTCCCTGGTAATAAAAATGGGCTATGGGTCAAGGGTTAATATTAAAGCTGGGGTGTCCATGTAAACAGGAAGCAGTTATGTGGCCTGGCACTTTTTTGGCCTCCTTGAAAGTGATAGTGGTTATATCTGGAAAAAAACAGACTAAAGGATCCTAAGGAAACAGCTCCAGAGCTGCCACCTCCAACAAATAGCACTAGCAAGGGGCCTGCTGCTCTGAGGGACTTCAGCTGGGATTAAAGATTCCCAACACCTACTCACTTGAAATGTCATCCTCATCACCTGTGATATGTGCAATTTCCTGAACACCTGTGATTCACCATTACTCACCTTTAATTCTGCCAATTTACAGCCAGTTTTCTGTCATTATATCAATACTTCTCCATCTTTAGCAGTCATTTCTCCAATCTTCAATGTTTGGTTAAAATTATCTCTCTCTCTCTCTTTTTTTTTTTCCTTCAGGAGGCTAGACCGCTCCTTGACAAATATTTTCTGTAAACTCTTCTTTAATTTTGTATGTGCCACGTGTAGCAGACGTGTTAGAATTGTGTTAGAAATATATATTCTATGCATTTTTCTTTTTGATCAACATTATTAAGGTATATAGTACACAAAAAGATGCATTTGTTTTAAACATTCAGTTTAATGAGTCTTGAATAGAAAAATTATACCTTTCTATAACCATCACTACAGTCATGATGTAGAATATTTTCATCCCTCCAGAGAGTTTGCTTGTTCCCTTTTCAGTCATCCTCCCACAACCCTTGCTTCTACCCTATTTTTTCACCTCCAGGCTCCTGGAAATCACTAATGTGCCTTCTTATGTGTGTGTATGTTTGTAAGCACTACTGAGGTATAATTGACATTAAAAAGCTGTACGTATTTAATATATGTGCAACTTGATGAGTTTGGAGATAAATATACAGCTGTGAAACCATTATCACAGTCAATGCCATAAACAAATCCATCACCCCAATGTTTCCTCTCACCTTCTTGATTTATTATTATTATTTATTGCTTACTTAATGTATTTATTATTTTTAAATTATTATTGTGAAAGAACTCAACATAAGATCTACCTTCTTAGCAAATTACTATGGTTTAGTTTTGCCATTTCTAGTCTACTATATATACAAAAGTTTACAGTATGGACTCTTGTTTTTAGCTTCTATCACTGGACATGATGTTGTAGTGGATCATACATATTGTGCATAATAAGTAGTTTATTAATTATAATTGCTGATCTGTATGTCATTGTATATTCCACAAATTGTTTATCCATTCCTCAGGCTATAGACATTTGATTGCTTTTAGGGTGGGACCAATGTGAATAAGGAGCATTATGGTTAAGTGCAAGAATTTCCATAAATACAAATTTTTATATCTCTTGACTAAATATTCATGAGTTGAAATACTGTGTCACTTAGTAAGTGTATATGCAATTCTTCGTGAACTGATTATTTTCTATAGTGGTTGTACCATTTTATACTTTGAACAGCAATGAGTAAAAATTCCAGTTGCTGTAAAACATTCTTATCAACACTAGGTATTTTTAGTTATTTAAATTTAATTGTAGCCTGTGTAGGGGGTTTTAACTTGTATCTTCCTAGTTGTAATGATGTTTAACATCCTTTCATGTATTTATTGGCTTACTTTTTTTGGAAGAAACTGTTAAAATATTTTGATTAATTTTTATATTTACATACACTGAAATTTATTTGCTTTGGCATATAATGAATTTTAATAAAGCACACAGTTTTGTAACCAATACCGTAATCAAGATATAAAACAGTTGTATTACAGAAAAATATCTTCCTGATATCCTTTGGTTATATTTTGAACATTTTTAGTTAAGTTGTTTGCTTTTTTATTTTAGGCCGTATAAGTTAAAATATATGTAATCTTGAATACCAGTCTTTCAACTGAAATAAGTATTATAAATACTTGCCTTTTAATTTTTAATGCTGTCTTTTAAAGTGCAAAATTTAAATTTTGATATTCAATTTGCAAGTTAACATTTTTCCCTTAACTTTTTTGCAGAAATTATATATTATGTTTTCTAGAGGAAGTTTTATAGTTTTTTAAAAATAATATTTGGTTTTGGGGAGTCTGGCATGAGTTATAGATCAAAGTTTTGGTGTTTTCTTTCCTTTTTTATTTTTTAAAAAATGAATAGCCAATTTAGTTGCCTTCTTCTTAATTCTGCGGTAGATGTTTTTCATTGTTCTTATGTTTCTTCAAGTTTTTAACATAAATGGGTTTATAATTTTGACATGCTTTCTCTGCATCTATTACAATGACTTATGGCCTTTATTCTGTTAATGTGGTAAATTAAATTGATTTAGTTTTCCAATGTTAACTGATCTTTCATTGCTAAAATAAATTATACTCTGCTGGATACAATTTGTTATTATTTTTCTAAACATATTTGCTTCTATATTCATGAGAAAGTTTGCCTACAATGTTCTTTTCTTACAATATTTTTCTCTGCTTTAGGTATTAGGATAACAGTAGTCTAGTAAAATGTACTGGAAAGTGTTATTTTCTCCTGTATTTTCTGACTTCCTAGTAGAATTGTTATTATATCTTTCTTAAATATTTCATAGAGTTTCCTAGTAAAGTGACCAAGGTTTGGGATTAACTTTATATGAATTTTTAGTTGTGAATTCAGTATCTTTAATATATTTCTAGGCTATTGATTTTGCGTGTATTCTTAAATATATTTTAATAATGATATCTTGAAACTGTTTTGCATTTCATCTAGGTTGTTGAACCTTGATGAATTAGACAATATTTATTTATGAAATTCCTGAAAAATTATATTTAGGTATATCATTCTGTTTCTCTTTTCCTTGTTTCCCAATGTATTTCATATTTTCTTTTCCTCATTTCTTTGCATTGGGCATTTTTTGATACCTCATTTTTATAATGGAATTTTTAATATTCTCTAACTTTAAAAAATATGTTTATAATCTACAGTAATGTTCCCTTTTTAATTTTTGATATTTGTCTTTTTCATTTTTTTACTTTTTGTGGGTACATAGTAGGTGTACTCTACTATTTATGGGTACATGAGATGTTTTGATATAGGCATGCATATAAAATAAGCACATCATGGAGAAAGGAGTTTTCCTAACCTCTAGCATGCTTGGAGTTACAAACATTCCAATTACAATCTTTAACTTATTTTAAAATGTACAATGATGTTATTATTGACTATAGTCACCCTGTTGTGCTACCAAATATTAGGTCTTATTTATTGTTTCTGATTTTTTTTTTTTTTTGGTACCCATTAACCAACCCCACATCCCCCTACTATTTCACTATCCTTTCCAGCCTCTGGTAACTTTCCTTTTACTCGCCATGTCCTTGAGTTTATTTTGATTTTTAGATCCCACAAATATGTGAGAACATGCAATGTATGTCTTTCTGTGCCTGGCTTATTTCACTTAACATAAGGATCTCCAGTTCCATTGATGTTGTTGCAAACAACTGGATCTCATTCCTTTTTATGGCTGAATAGTCCTCTATTGTGTATATGTACCACCTTTTCTTTAGCTAGTCATCTATTTAGAGACACTTCAGTTTCCTCCAAATCTTAGCTGTTGTAAACAGTCCTGCAACAAACACAGGAGTGCAAATATCTCTTTGATATATTGATTTTTTTTTTCTTTTGGGTGTATACCCAGCAGTGGGAGTGCAGGATCATATGGTAGCTGAATTTTTAGTTTTTTGAGGAATCTCCAAACTGTTCTCTATACTGGCTGTAATAATTTACATTCTCTCCAACAGTGTACAAGGTTTGCCTTTTCTCCACATTATTGCCAGCATTTGTTATTGCCCATCTTTTGGATATAAGCCATTTTAACTGGGATGAGACAATATCTCATTGAAGTTTTGATTTGCATTTCTCTGAGGATCAATGATGTTGAGCACCTTCTGATATGCCTGTTTGCCATTTGTATGTCTTCTTTTGAGAAATATCTATTCAAATATTTTGCCCATTTTTGATCAGATTATTAGATTTTTCTATTATGGTGGTAGTTTGAGCTCTTTATATATTCTGGTTATTAATCCCTTGACAGACGGGTAGTTTGCAAATATTTTATCCCATTCTGTGGGTTGTCTCTTCATTTTGTTAACTGTGTCCTTTGTAGTACAGAAGCTTTTTAACTTGATATGTTTCCATTTGTCTATTTTTTCTTTGGTTGCCTGTGCTTATTTGGTATTGCTTATGAAATTTTTACCCAGACCAATGCCCTGGAGATTTTCCCCAATGTTTTTCTGTATTAGTTTCATAGTTTCAGGTCTTAGATTTAAGTTTTTAATCTATTTTGATTTGATTTTTATATATGGAGAGAGAATTGGGAGGGGTCTAGTTTCATTCTTCTGCATATGGATATTCAGTTTTCCCAGACTATTAATTGAAGAGGCTAACAATAAAATGTATGTTCTTGGCACCTTTGTCAAAAAATGAATTCACTGAAAGTGTGTGGATTTGTTTCTGGGTTCTCTGTTCCTTTTTATTGGTCTGTGTGTCTGTTTTTATGTCAGTACTCTGCTGTTTTGATTACTATAGCTCTGTTGCATAATTTGAAGTCACATAGTGTGATTCCTCCAATTTTGTTCTTTTTGCTTCGCATAGCTTTGGCTATTCTGGGTCTTTTGTGATTCCATTTAAATATTAAGATTGTTTTTTCTGTTTCTGTAAGAATGTCATTGGTATTTTCATAGGGATTGCATTGAATCTGTAGATTGCTTTGGGTAGTAAGGACATTTTAACAATATTAGTTTTTCCAGTACACAAACATGGAATATTCTCCTAGTTTTTGGTGTCATTTTTTATTTCTTTCATCAGTGTTTTACAGTTTTCATTATAGAGATCTTTCACTTCTTTGGTTAATTCTTGGGTATTTAATTTTGTGTGTGGCTATTGTAAATAGGATTACTTTTTAATTTCTTTTTCAGATTGTTCATTCTTGGCAAATAGAAACGATATTGATTTTATATATTGATTTTATACCTTGCAAATTTACTGAATTTGTTTGTTAATTCTCCTAGTTTTTTGGTGGAGTCTTTAGATTTTTCTAAATACAAGATTATGTCATCTGCAAACAAGAATAATTTGTTGTTGGTCATTTAGATGTTTATTTTATTAATCAGTCTAGATAGATATTTGTCAATATTATTAATCTTTTCCAAGAAAAGCTTTTAGTGTCATTTGTTTTCTCTTTTATGTTTTGTATTTTAGTAATGTTTGCTTTAACCTTATCATTCCATTTCTTCTACTAATGGTGGTTTTACTCCTTTTCCAGCTGCATATGTCTGAGATAACTGATTTATACCTTATTATTTCTTAATACACATTTTTTAACTTATAAATTTCCCTCTAAGTACTGTGTTAATTTTATTCCTAAAGTTTGGCATTTGTGTTTCAATATCATTAAGTTTAACAGATTTACCAATGTCCTTAGTGATTTCTTCTTTGTCCCTTGGCCTTTCTTACTGTAATTTTTTTTTCTATTCACAAATACTTGTGTTTCATCTAGGTATCTTTTTCTTACAAATTACAGCTATAGTTTAACTCTATTTTTGCTTTACTTTGTTGAGTTTTATTTCATGAACTAGTGTATGGATATTTGTGAATGTTCTATGTTCACTGGAAAAGAATGTATATTCTGCTATAGTTGAGTGTTGAGATCTAAAAAATTTAATTGTGTAAATTCATTTGATAGTGCTGTTCAGGTCTTACATTTTCCTATTAACTTATGTCTACTGCTTTTCTCTAGTATTGAGAGAGGATTGTTGTAATCACCAATAACTATTTCAGATGCATTTATTTCTCCTTCAATTTTGTTGTTTTTGCTCATGTTGTTTTGATACACTGTTATCAAGCATTATATATTTATAATTATTTCATCTTGACTTATAGATGTTTTATCATCATAAAATGTATTTTTTATCCTAGTAATATTTGTTTTTTGAGATCTACTTGGGGTACTATTAACGAAGCCTCAGTTTTCTCATGATTAGTATTTACATGATGTATATTTTATATTATTTTCGTTTTAATTTATCAGTATTTTTATTTTAAGTGTGTTTCCTGTAATAGCATATAGATGGTCTCCTTTTTTAAAATATCCAGTCCGAAAGACTATTTTTATTTGTATTTAATATAATCATCAATATATTGGTGTTTAAGTCTACTGTCTTGCTATTTGTTTTCTATGTATTCCATCTGTTCTTTATTCCTTATCTTTCTTTTCCTGTCTGCTTTCAGTATTATAACTTTCAGTGCCGTATTCAATTTTATTTTCTTTATTTGACTGATAGTCCTATACTTTAATTTTACTGGTTTCTCTGATGCTTACAGTAAACATCTTTAAATTATTACATTATCCTCCAAATAATATTATTCCACTACATGGGAAATATTTTTAAAAATTAGCAACATTTTTTAGTACCCTCTTGCATTTTTTTGTACTACTATTATCTCTTCTTTTATTTTTACATATGATATAAAACATGCTACATTGTTGCTATTTTTGCTTTAAACAGTTAATTCCGTTTTAAGGAAATCAAATGAAAAAAATATTATCTTCTTCTTTCCATTTGTTTACCATTTTAAATAATGTTTATTCCTTTGTATAGAAGCAAGTTTCCATCTGCTACCTTTAGCTTTCCACTTGAAGAATTTATTGTAACATTTCTTATAATACAGACCTGCTGGAGACAAATTTTCTTTATTTTGCCTTTGAAAGATTTTCAACAGCATAATAGACCCTTTAGGGAAGTGTTGTTGCATTTGTGTCGACATACTTTTTATCACTTTAAAGTTATTGTTTTATTGTCTTCTGAATTGCTTTATTCCCAATACAAAGTCAGCAGGTATTCTACATTTTTCTTCACATGTAATATGTTATTTTTTTCTGCCTGATTTCTAAATGTTCTCTTTACTATGGGGTTTTAACCATTTGACCTCTTCATTTTTTTTTCTTATTTTGTCACATTATTAGCATATGCATTGATATCATTTACTACATAACAAAATAAAATAAATTATTATCCTACAGAATAAAAGTGACCCTTTTATTAAAAAATTAAAAATATTGGAGGGCAATCTTGAGTTTCTTGAATAAAATTGATCTTCTTTTATCCTATCTCAGGAGAAATATCTACTGCAATGGCCATTTCAACAAGAATGGTAGAGTCAAGGCAGAAAATATATTTTCATTGTTTGGAAATATATTTTTTAAAAAATACTTTGACTATATTCCCCTTGAGAACTGAAACAAGAGAAGAATGCTCACTCTTGCTATTCTTATTCAACATAGCACTGCAGTTCTTACCCAGAGCAGTCAAGCAAAAGAAAGAAAGAAAACATATCCAATAGGAACACATGAAGTCAAACTATCTGTTTGCAGGCAATATGACTCTCTACTTAGAGAACCAAATAGTCTCTGCCCTAAAGCTCCTATATCTGAAAAACAGTTTCAGCAAAGTTTCAGGATACAAAATCAATGTACCAAAATCAGTAGCATATCTATATACCAACAACATCCAAGCTGAGAGCCAAGAATACGACTCCATTCTCAATAGCCACAAAAGAATAAAATACCTAGGAATACAGCTAAACAGATAGGTGAAAGATCTCTACAATGAGAATTACAAAACACTGCTCAAATAAATCAGAAAGGACACAAACAATGGAAAAATATTCCATGATCACAAATAGAAAGATTCAATATTGTTAAAATGGCCACACTGCCCAAAGCAATTTACAAATTCAATGCTATTTCTAACAAACTACCAATGACATTCTTCACAGAATGTTTTTTAAAAATCTATTTAAAAACTTATACGAAACTTAAAAAGAGCCCAAATAGACAAGGCAATCCCTAAGCAAAAAGAACAAAGCTGGAGGCATCATGTTATCTGATTTCAAAGTATACTATAAGGCTATGGGAACCAAAACAGCATACAAAGATAGACACAAATCTAGACACATAGCCCAGCAAAAATGCCACATACCTACGACAATCTGATCTTCAACAAACCCAACAAAAACAAGCCCGGGAAAAGGATACCTATTCAATAACTGGTGCTGGAATAACTGGCTAGCCATATGCAGAAAATTGAAACTAGACCACTTCTTTATACCATATATCAAAATGAATTCAAGATGAGTTAGACTTAAGTCTGAAACCAAAAACTATAGAAACCCTGGAAGGTAAACTGGGAAATACCTTTCTCGACATAGGCTCTGGGATAGAGTTCATGATGAAGATACTAAAAGCAATTGCAATAAAAACAAAAATTGAGAAATGAGACCTAATTAAACTAAAGAGCTTCTGCACAGCAAAAGAAACTATCAACAGAGTAAACAGAGAACCTGCAGAATGGGAGAGAAATGTTTGCAAACTGTACCCCTCAAAGGTGTAATACCCAGAGTCTATAAGGAACTTAAACAAATTAAAAAGCAAAAGACAACTACATTAAAACATGGGCAAAAGACATGAAAAGACAGTTTTCAAAAGAAGACATACATGTGACCAACAAGCATAAGAAAAAATGCTCAACATCACTGATTATTACAGAAATGGAAATCAAACTACAATGAGATACCATCTCACACTAGTCAGAATGGCTACTTTTAAAAAATAAAAAATAACAAATACTGGTGAGGTTGTGGAGGAAAGGGAATGCTTATAAAGTGCTGGTGGGAATGTAAATAGTTTAGCCATTGTGGAAAGCAGCATAACAATTTCTCAAATAACTTAAAACAGAATTAATATTTGACCCAGCAATCCCATCATTGGGTATATACCCAAAGAAATTTAAATCATCCTACCATAAAGACACATGTACACATACCTTCACTGCATTACCATTCATAATAGCAAAGACATGAAATGAACCTAAATGCCCATCAGTGATAGACTGGAAAAGGAAAATGTGGTACATATATACCATGGAATACTATGCAGTCATAAAACGAAGAATGAAATCATGTCTTTTACAGCAACGTGGATGAAACTAGAGGCCATTATTGTAATCAAACTAATGCAGGAACAGAAAACCAAATACTGCATGTTCTCACTCATAAGTGGGAGCTGAACTTTGAGTACACATGGACACAAAGAAGGGAACAATAGACACCAGAGCCTACACTGGGGTGGAGGGTTGGAGGAGGGAGATGATCAAAAAACTACCTATAGGGTACTATGATTATTACCTGGGTGACAAAATAATCTGCACATCGAACACCCATAGCATGCAACTGACCTTACAACAAATCTGCGTGTGTACCCCTAAACCTAAAATAAAAGTTAAAAAGAATATTTTGACTCTAATTAATGACAATCACCAGGTAGGTTGGCAGTGACTCAAAAATAAGAGTTCTTAAAATTCATAAAATTTTTGCTTTTAGGTTGAAAACGGGAATGGACATTTATTTCAATAAGTGTATTTTCAATGGCTCAGACAACTTATATCCTCTGATTTATATCTTCCAATTTGTGCAACACCTAATATGAACTAGTATGATTTGAAAGGCCTCACAAAACCTCTCCCTCTAGATGATGGTCCAACAGTAGTAGCTTGTTGCTATGCATTGAGTTGATAGTTCAATGATACCCACATTTCATATTCATAGTGTTTCTGGTAATTGATTATGTATGCAGTAGGTATCTACCCATCATTACTTTGAGTTAAACAGGTATAAAAACTTTCTCTTGCACCGTAGAGCAGAGGGGAAAAGCTTCCCTAACTATTAATGAATCATTCTTATTGAATCCATTGAGTTGGAAAAGATTCGAGTGATCTGGCTAAAAGTTGCCTATACTGTTTTAGATTGAGAGGGAATTATGTAGAAAGGGGAAAGGAAAGAATTCTAATTCAAAAAAAAAGTGTGAGAGATGTTATATGTATTATTTTACTCTTGCTGTAACTTAGTGGCTTAAAACAACAAAAATGTATTCTTTTAGAGTTCTGGAGGTCAGAAGTTCAAAGTCAGTTTCCATGGAATAAAGTGTAGTGTAAGTAGGGCTTGTTCCTTCTGGAGGCTCTGAGGAGATATTTCATTTCTTTTCTTTTTCTAGCATTTGGAGGACTCCCAAAATCCTGGGCTTGTATTCCTTCATCACACCATGCCAATCTCTTGTTCTGTCATCACATCTCCTATTCCTCTTCTAGAGTGAAATCTCCCTTTGCCACCTTTCTATTAGGATGCTTGTGATTACATTTAAGGCCCACCCAGATAATCTACGTTAGCTTTCAATATTAAGATACTTGATTTAATCATATCTGCAATATCTCTATTGCTATATAAGAAAATATTTGAAAGTTCTGGGGATTAGGATATGGATATCTTTGGGTGCTGATTTTCAGTTCACCATGCTATAGCACGATCTGCATGAATATGCTAGAATTTTCTCCCATTAAAAATTATTTATAAAATATTACTTTTGATTCTTTGCTAGTTAAATGATTCTTAAACAGAACTAATTTTTTTTACAACTTGTGCTGTCTGCAATTGAATAATATTTACATCATACTTTATTATAAAACATGATCTTGATTTGTCAAACAGTAATTGACTGGAATGTCTTTTCTTACTCTTTGTTAAACTGGTTGTCCCATTCTACTGTACTATTCCAAATTGAAACTAATGTTATTGGATTAAGGGACTCAACCTACTTTAGTGTTACCTCAACCTAACCTAACTAAATTACATCTGCAACAACCCTATTCCCCAGTAACGTCACATCATAAAGTACTGGGGGTTAGGAGTTCCACATATAAATGTTGGGAGAACCACAATTCAACCCATAAGACTATGAAATGGAAAACCAGTGATTCAAACCATCTCTTGTCTTTTACAGATGAGAGAGTGAAAACCAAACAGGTTTGGAGTCATGGCAAAGATTACACAGTGAATGATAGAGGTCTAGCTGAGATAACAACTAAAGACACCCAACACACACAAGGGCTTATTCCATGTTATTAGAATTGATTCTATTTTGGATAATTAAGAATAGAAATCTGACATTTCTTGGCTGATTTCAGCTGGGTGTGTACACTAGATATGCATGTTTTAAATAAGTGGCACAGCCTGAGTTAAACATTCTCTTACAAGAATTTCAGCCCAAGAGACACTTGTGAGATTGCTTCATAAAAGAAATCTTGGCAGCTCATCCCATCTCAATTGTAATTTAAAAGAAATTGCCCATCAATTTTGTATATGCCTTCATTTGTGCCAAACAACTTTATCATGTCAGAGACAGCAAAAACGATTAATTTACTTACATTGCATTCAGTAAGTCATCAGGGGAGGATCTTATTTTTTTTCCATGTACAGAATTTCTAGAAAGTGCCTATTCCTCTAAAACATTTTCAGGTTTAATGAAATTTTGGTTATAACAACAATTTAGCATCGTAAAAGCATAATACTGAGAGCTGCTTTTAGAATTCATCAGAAATAAGACTTAGGATTTAGACAGATAATAAAGTTTTAAAATAATACTTGTGGCTAGGTATTATTTTGAGAATGCCAAGTAAGTGGCATCAACATTATTTAGATTCCTTCCATCTTCACCTTTCCTTCAGTGAAAGTCAGAAAACCAAGAGATATATTTACCTAGCTCTAAGTCTGTATTGATTTGTAATTTACAATGCTCAATATGAAACTAGTTATTACTATACAGAGCAACTGAAATTGTGTTGTCTGAAGCTATTAAGTACATTCTGCAGAAATAACATAGGCCCAAGCAAAGTTAGAAAGTCCTAGTTTATGGTGAGAACAAAAAATAATTTCTAACTCTCAGGGTAGCTCTCTTTTCACTCCATATTTATAACAAATGAAACTGGGAGCTTAGAAAGTGGACAATACCTCGTCATGCTCAGTGCTGTGGGGAACCAGGGATGCAACTGGAACAAGAGCTTATTGAAGTGTTTATTTATTTATTTTTCCTCTAGGGTATCCTTGTTTCTTTTCTTAACTAAACCATTAAGTTAAATTTGACTCCTTATCATAGGTTAGATATCAGAGAATGTTAAGAAACCAAGTACAACTGAAAAACTCTCCATTATTATAACGTTAAGCTTAGGGTAACCCTTAGAATAATCATACCCACCTGAATCCACTGACACTAGTCATTGCAGAAGCACTGCATTCAGTAGATTTACTTTCAGTTTTCAGGAGATAATAAAATTATAAATACAGGATAGCCTGCACATTGAAAGAAATGCAGATATTATTTTCCAAGTCTGAAAAATAAGGGTTTTTTTGAAAGTTAAATACAGATATTCCCTTAATAGCTTGAGTTTTCCAGTGTTGAAAAATTCAGTATTTAAAATTAAATTTTGATGTTTTATCTGTATTTTTACTGTAGAAAATTTACATTTTTTACAAAAATGATATGCAAGTAGTTTTTGCTGTTTAGTTATAATAATTATGGTTTGGTGCAGTGGCTCATGTCTGCAATCCTAACAGTTTGGGAGGCAGAGGCAAGAAGATTGCTTGAGCCAGGAGTTCAAGACCAGCTTGGGCAACATAGTGAGAACCTCTCTCTAAAAAAAAAAAAAAAAAAAAAAGTAAGTAGATGGATATGGTGGTGCATGCCTGTAGTCCCCGCTGCTTGGAAGGCTGAAGCAAGAGGATCACTTAAGCCTGGGAATTCAAGGCTGCAGTGAGCCATGATCCCACAACTGCACTCCAGCCTGGGCAATAGAGTGAAATTCTGTCTCAAAAAGGAATAATAATTTGACAAGTTAAAATGTTTTAAGCAGAGGAAATTGAGAACATTTCCACGTACTCTCAAGTCAACTGAATATCATAAAACCAAAGAGCATTTATTTAGATAACATCTCACATTTTTGGAACATCTGAGGTTAAATTATAGACATGTAGTCAAGTCCTTTCACACTTAACATCACTCTTTTCTCATTCTTTTTTCCTTACAAGTAGAACTTTACTTTTTCACTCTCTTTTTAAAATTTTCCTATACTACCAAATAGATATGAATTCCAAGATGATAATTATGCTTGCTAGTAATTTGCACTTACAAGATATGTCAGAGTATGTAAATGTGCTTTTTCCTCTGAAAGCCCTTTGACTGTCTTGCCTTCTTCTGAAAACTTTTTCTACTACCTCCTCAAAATGGAAAAAGCTAAGGTATCTGTCAAACTATTTCCAAAGAAAGTTCATTTGTATATATAGCTCGTAAAAGCAAAAGTGTATGCTGTACAAGAAGCAAAATGTACTTGAGTACTGTTCTCTAGGTATTTTCTAAGAGATTTAAACTCCATGCTCACTATGTGGGTAACAGGTTTATTCATATACCAAGCCTCAGTGACACACAAGTTACCCATGTAACAAACCTGCATCTGTACCCCCGAACCTAAAATAATAAAATAAATTAAATAGACAATAGATAGGTAGATAGATAGATAGATAGATAGATAGATAGAACTGGCAAAGGACATAAAGTTCACTGAGAATCAGATTCTCAGGAGTACATACGAGCTAAATTTCTTTCCAAAACACACAAATTTAAAATTTCCCTTGATAATATTTGAGAAATTCGGTTATTAAAACAGAGAAGCAAAACAGGGCATATAAAGTAGGAAAACTTAGCGGATTTATTTTAAAAAATATTGAATGCTACCTTCTCTAAGTGTAGAGTCATGTAAGAGGAGTAAATTCTGTTAAGATTACTCTATTTGGCTTTTCTTTACTAACTTTGGTTGTGATATAACCTAAACTTGCTTTTTAGCCTAGAGATTTTAACTGCGTCATTAATGTATTATCAGACATTAAAGGGTAAGAATAAATTACCTCAAAGGCCTTATAATTACCTTTCCCATCTTATACGTGCTCCCAACCTGGAAGTAGACAAACCAATGTCAATGTGATCATCATTGCCATAAGCATTCCAAAATAACTAACACTCTACCTTTCAGAAATACTGATTTCCCATCAGCAACATGTAGTTCTTTTAAAAACAAAAGGCATATTTTACTTTTTATTTCCAAATATAATCTCAGGAAGCTTTATATTTTAAGAAATTATTGTATTTGTTTCTTGGTAAATCTTAGCTACTTATTTCCACACTAGTATATATAGGTTGGCTTTCTAGAGAACATATAGATGCCTTAATCTTCCTCTCATCGCTTGAAATGCAAACATTTATGTAAAAGTTGGCATTTGTCAAGATGATCATAGAGTAAACAAAAAAAAAATGACAAGAAAAATAAGAGAAAATGGGATTAAATAAAGAAAATTGCTTCCTTCAACATTGAATCCCCTTGAAATTGTTGGAGCTGTATCAAATTGAGTAAGTGACTTCTTAACGTTGTATTTTTGATTTCACCTTACCTTGGAAAATGAAGAATAATTATTTACTATACTTGTACTTTTTTTCTTGATTGAATTATTTATTAATTTTTTTGCCTATTTATTGACTGAAAAACTAAGCAAAAATAACAAACCTGGAGACATCACACTACCTGACTTCAAACTACACTACAAGGCTACAGTAAACCAAACCACATGGTACTGGTACCAAAGCAGATATACAGACCAATGGAACAGAACAGAGACCTCAGAAATAACACCACACATCTACAACCATCTGATCTTCAACAAACCTGAAAAAAACAAGCAATGGGGAAAGGATTCCCTATTCAATAAATGATGCTGGGAAAACTGGCTAGCCATATGCAGAACACTGAAACTGGACTCCTACCTTACGTATTATACAAAAAATAACTCAAGATGGATTAAAAACTTAAATATACAACCCCAAACCATAAAAACCCTAGAAGAAAACTTAGTCAATACCATACAGGATGTAGGCATGGGAAAAGACTTCATGACAAAAACACCAAAAGCAATTTCAATAAAAGCCAAAATTGATAAATTGGCTCTAATTAACCTAAAGAGCTTCTGCACAGTGAGAGAAACTGTCATCTGAGTGAACAGGCAACCTACAGAATGGGAGAAAATTTTTGCAATCTACCCATCTGATAAAGTTCTAATACCTAAAATCTACTAGAAACTTAAACAAATTTACAAGAAAAAAACCAACAACCCCAACAAAAAGTGTGCAAGGATATGAATAGACACTTCTCAAAAGAAGACATTTATGTGGCCAACAAACATAAGAAAAAAAGCTCATCATCACTGATCATTAAAGAAATGCAAATCAAAACCACAATGAGACAGCATCTCATGCCAGTCAGAATGGTGATTATTAAAAATTCAGGAAACAATAGATGTTGGTGGGGCTGTGGAGAAATAGGAACGCTTTTACACTGTTGGTGGGAGTGTAAATTAGTTAAACCATTGTGGAAAACAGTGTGGCGATTCCTCAAGGATCTACAACCAGAAATACCATTTGACCTAGCAATCCCATTACTGGGTATATACCCAAAGGATTATAAATCATTCTACTATAAAGACACATGCACATGTATGATGAACAATGAGAACACATGGACACAGGGAGGGGAACAACATACGCCAGGGCCTGTCGGTGGGTAGGTGGAAAGGAGAGGGAGAGCATTAGGACAAATACCTAATGCATGCAGGGCATAAAACCTAGATAATGAGGAGAATCACTTGAACCCAGGAGGTGGAGATTGCAGTGAGCCAAAATCTCGTGCCACTGTATTCCAGCCTAGCGACAGAGCGAGACTCCATCTCAAAAAAAGAGAAAAAAAAAAAACCCACCTAGATGATGGGTTGATAGGTGCAGCAAACTACCATGGTGCATGTATACCTATGTAACAAAACTGCACATTCTGCACATGTATCCCAGAACTTAAAGTTTTTTTTAAAAAAAAAGAGAGAAAAAGGCATTAATATCCAAAATATATTTAAAACTATTACAACTAATAGCAAGAACAAACAAAAACAAATCCAAATAACTTAATTATAAGATGGGCAAAACATCTGAGTAGACATTTTTCCAAAGACATACACATGGTCAACAGATATGTGAAAAGATGCTCAACATAACTTATCATCAAGGAAATCCAAATCAAAACCGCAATGATATATCACTTACACCTGTTAGGATAGCCATTATAAAAGAAAACAAAAAGTATTTGTGAGGATATGAAGAAATTGGAATCCTTGTACCTTGGTGGCTGAAATATAAAATGGTTCGGCAGCTATGGAAATAATATGGGGATCCCTCAAAAATTTTAAATAGAACTAACATAACCCAGCAATTTCACTTCTGAATATATATACAAAGGAATTTAAATTACTATATTGAACAGATATCTCTAATCTCATGCTCATTGCAGCGTTATTCACAATGGCCAAGATATGGAAACAACCTAAATATCCATGGATAGATGAATGGATATACTGTGGTGTATACATACAATGAAATATTATTCACCCTTGAATAATAATAATATTCACCTGCTCAAAATGTGTAATACATGAACAACCAAATAGACTACAAAAAAGGCAAAAGTTGAGATAAATGATAAATACAGGAAAGAATGAGCTAAAAACCAGAAAAAAAGAGTAGAAATACAAACATAAAGGCAAAAAGTTAGTTTTATTCAGTGCTATTCCCTTCAAGCTACTAGTGACTTTCTTTGAACAGCTGGAAAAAATTACTTTAAATTTTCATTTGGAACCAAAAAAGAGCCTGTATAGCCAAAACAATCCTAAGCACTGAATCTACAAATTACTTTAGGCGCTATGGCCATTTTCACAGTACTGATTCTTCCTATCCATGAGCATGGGATATTTTTCCATTTGTTTGTGTCCTTTCTTATTTGCTTGTGCAGTGGTTTGTGGTTCTCCTTAAAGAGGTGCTTCAAGTCCTTTGTAAGTTGTATTCCTAGGTATTTTATTCTCTCTGTAGCAATTGTAAATGTTAACTCTTTATCAGATATATGACTTGCAAATATTTTCTCCCACTCTGGTGGTTGCCTTTTGACTCTGTTTATTGTTTCCTTTGCTTTGCAGATGACTTCTAGTTTGATATAGTCCCAATGTCTTTTCTTGCTTTAGTTTCTTGTTCTTTTTGTGTCATAATCAAGAAATTATGGTCTGGGCCAATGCCATAAAGCTTTTCCTCTCTCTTATTCTAAGATTTTCAGACTTTTAGGCTTTCTGTTTAAATCTTTAATAAATTTTTCCTTGACTTTAGTGTATAATGCAAAAAAAATCAGCCCAATTTCATTATTTTACATGTAGATATATGGTTTTACTGTGGCCATCTGTTGAAGATACTATCTTTCCTCATTGTGTATTCTTAGCATCATCCTTGTCAAAGATCAGTTGATAGTATAAGGGTGGGTTTATTTCTTATATCTCTGTTCTATTCTGTTCCATTGATCCATATGTTTGTTTTTATGCCGTTACCATACTACTTTAATTAATGTTGCTTTGTAATATATTTTGAAGTCAGAAATGTGACTCCAGCTTTGTTTTCCTTTCCCAAGATTGCTTTGGCTATTTAGGGTCTTTTATGGTTCCATATGTGTTTTAGGATTATTTTTCTATCACTGTGAAAAATGTCTTTGGTATTTTGATAGGAAACACATTGAATCTATAGACAGCTTTGGGTAATATATGAAGTGTTAACAAAATTAAGTCTTCCTATTCATGAATACAGGATGTCTTTCCATTTATTTGTGTCTCCTTTAATTTTTTTCATCAAAGTTTTGTAATTCTTAGTGTACAAGTATTTTACCACCTGGGTAATATATTTTGGATTTCAGGTAATACATGATGTCCACTTGACGTCACTGATGTTGCTAATTTAATGATTTGGTTAAGGTAGTATTTGTTAGGTTTCTTATCTGTAAAGTTATTATTTATTTATTTACCTACTGTATTCATGGACAGTGAGTCACTAAGATAAGTTTATTCTCAAGAGGGGTGGGAACTGCTGAATTCTACATGTATTATTTGGAATTTTTCTATATGGAAGATTTGTTACTTCTCCCTCATATATTTGTTCAATCGTTTTTTCATATTCATTTGATTCAGGTATATTTATTTTATCCTTTGAGTTATAATCCAATGCTGCATTATTTATTTCATCTTTCAGGTTGGCTCATATGTTCTTTTTTTTTAGACATGGTCTCACTCTGTTGCCCAGGCTGGAGTGAAGTGGCACAATCTCAACTCACTGCAACCTCTGCCTCCCAGAAGCAATTCTCATGTCTCAGCTTCCCTATTAGCTGGGACTACAGGTATGTGCCACCATGCCTGGCTAATTTTTGTATTTTTGTTTTTTCTTGGTAGAGATGGGGGTTTCAACATGTTGGCCAGGCTGGTCTCGAAGTCCTGACCTCAAGTGATCCACCCACCTCAGCGTCCCAAATCTCCTGTTCTTTTCATCATTCTTTTGTTTTTAGAGAACTTCCTTCCTTTCTGGCATTACAGATATTGCAAGCTCATCATGCGTATTTCAAGCCTCAGCTCTAAAATTATTCATTTATTTAAGAAGACCTGCTTGCTTTTGTTAGAGGATGGTATTTTCTAGATCTCTGCATTGGCCATGTTCATTACTACTCGGGTGTCATTGTTTATGGGCCCTCTCAAGGAACAGATTTGGTTAATATATGTATGATCACTAGCCATTGTATACACACACATATATAAAGGTGTCTCTGTCTATATTCTATGAATACATTCAGATAAACATAAGTTCATGTTGATGTTTCTAACTCTAATACAGCACCACAGGATTCATTCTAGCCTTCTCATCTGCTTATCTATAATATCCTATTCCAACGTGGAGAAATATGGTTCCCACCATTCGCCATTTATTTCACTGTTCAATCTCCGTAGGCAGAAAAAATTTCATAATTGCTTACCTATAACCAAATGAGAAACAAACTTGCCGACCAGAGAATTATGTTTATTTATGGTTCCTTTGATCTTTAGCCTTACAGTTTCCAGACATCATTTTGCAGAATTGTGTAATTCAGCCTCTTTTTTCCTTTCACCTCATTTTGTGTAATATGTAATACATTTGTCATATTGTAACACAGTTAGATTCATTTATCGCAATTTGCATTCAATTCTTGGGACCCCAGACATCTTGGTTGATCATGCTAGATTTTGGTTTTAGTTTGCTTACATTTTTACTTTTAGTTTTATTGCTTTGAGATCAGAGAATGTTATGTTATTAACTCATATTTATAGAAATTATATAGGTATTTTTGGTGTCCTTAAATATTTTCATGTTTTGTGAATATTCAGAGTATTTAGTCATTCATTGGGATATGTGGTTCTATGGACATTTACAAATGCATAAATTCATGTATCTACCATCGTTGCCTCCTGGGGTTAATTTTCACGACTGTATTTTTTAAGAGATTATTCATTTTATCTAGGTTTTCAAATGTACTTACATAGATTTCTGTGAAACAGATCTATCTATCTTATGTACCAATTTGTAATTGTCTTTCTTTAATAGTTATTTCCTTTACTTTTACTTAGTTATTTCTTACTTTTTACTACAGTTATTTACTATACTTGTACTTTTTTTCTTGATTGAATTATTTATTAATTTTTTTGCCTATTTATTGACTGAAAAACTAACTTTTTGCCTTTATGTTTGTATTTCTACTCTTTTTTTCTGGTTTTTAGCTCATTCTTTCCTGTATTTATCATTTATCTCAACTTTTGCCTTTTTTGTAGCCTATTTGGTTGTTCATGTATTACACATTTTGAGCAGAAAATTTTTTCAATTATTTTATTTAGCTTTTATTTATGTAAGTATTCAAGGCTACAAATTCTCTTGTGATCACTTCTTTAGTTTTACCACAAAAATGTTCTAATTTGTAGGTTTTCAAGATCACTACTTTTAAGAAATTCTCTACATTTTATTTTAGTCATCATTTATACAAGGGTTGTTTAATAATGATTTTAAAATATTACACAAAGAAGGGCCATTTCATTTATGCTTTTTCTTCAACTTTTATTGCTTTGAGATCAGTGAATATTATTGATATTTTCTCTTATTCCCAGAAATTATATATATAGAGATATTTTAAAGGTTGTCATGTTTTGCAAATGTTCAGAGTATGTTTATGACTGTGTTATTTATTACCAAGTTATAAAATTCAAGATCTACTTTATTTGTTATATTGTTTGATGTCGCTTGACCTTTCTTGAACTGAGAGCAATGTATTGCAATCTCTAACTATTTGTGGTTTTGTTTTTATTAATCGCTGATTTAAAAAATATTTTCTCTTTGTATGTTTGCTGTGCTATTTGTTCCATAGACATAGATATTGATAATTCTTATACATCCACTATGAATTTCAGTCTTAATCATTTTTAAATGTCATTCGTTGCCTCATTTCATGCTTTTTGTCTTGAATTGTTCTTTCTCTGTTATCAGGATCACAACCACTCTTTTCCTAGTGTTTGCATTTTCCTGGTATACTTTTTCTGTCACCGCCCCCCAATCTCCTGCCCCCTACACCTTTTACAAACTCTTTTTGAATAGATTTATTTCATTTCTCTACAGTAGCAATTATACAGCATTGAGCTGGGTTTCTCTTTGTATCCAGATCTGAATACCTTTTTCTGTTATTAGATTTAATAAGCCTATTTGTATTTGTAGTGTGACCATTGTGTTTGGGCTAAGATTTACGTACTACAGCTATGTAGATTTTGTTATATTTATTGGGTTTGATTCTGTTTTTGCTAAATTGGACATTTAATTTGGAATTTGGAGGATCTGTAGTTTTAACTAGTGATTACCTTTATATTAATGACTTTTCTATTTCTCTTGGTCTTTCTCTGTTTCTCTTCTTCCTTCTTTTCCTCTTCCTTCCTTTTATCTTGTCTTCTTTCTTTTTTTTACTTGAACATGTTTTTTGGTTTATTAATTTTAAGTTATTTTTTATTATTACCTATTTAATATCTGTGCACAGTGGCATACTGGTAAATCTTTATCAACTGCCATCCACAGGGGTCGGGAGAGAAAAAGCTCTGGTGTGTTTATTTCAGTGACGGAAATATTCCCACTATTACCAATGGCAAGCTACCAACATGATGTCACTAAATGCATTCAGGGAAAGAAACTCAGATTTGCATAATCACTTCTTGAAAACTCATCTGAGCCCACTCCAGTATACCACTCTGTCTGCCATATCCATTAATTCATCCTACTTTCCCTTCTTTCTCTCTTATTTCTCCCCCATTTTGGGGGCTATGTTATTTCTACTTTATACAGGAAACACATAACATTTACATTTAGTACACTTTGATTAAGACTAATATTTAAAATTCTAAGAGTTTAACATTTATTATCGGCCCCTCCCCCCAACTTTTTTTTTTTTTTGGTAGTACCTCCAGGTAACTTGTGATGGGACCAAGCTCACCCTCTGGCAAAATCCTCAGGAAGGCTCAAGGTAGAGTGTTCCTGAGTCCTTTCATGTCTAAAACTATGTTTTTGTAGACTTCATATGACACAGATTGATCAAATATAATAATTTTAGTTCAAGCTTTCTTGAGTGATTTGAAATTGTTGCATTTTCTAATGGTTATATATCTATACAGTCAAAATAATTATTTCTTTATTTTTACATTCTGTTACTTAAAACATTCTCAGACTTGGCTGAAATATTTCAGTTATTCCAAAGTACACAGAACTTCCAAAGGTCAAGGGAGTTTTCTTTTATTTTTTAAATTTTTTAATTACAAGTTTTACATATTAGTATTTTCCATGATTTCATTAATTTTTATTTAGTATCTCTAATTAAATATATATTGGATAACTTTTGCCTACTTTCTACAGATATCATTTTTTCTTGGCACTTTTTTATTTAATTTTTTTACTTTTAACTACTGATTCATATACTAAATTGCTTTGATTATTTTCTATTAAATTCATCCTTTCTTATGAATCTTTTAAGTTAAATATTTCTCTATTTTATTTTTTTCTCAATTTCTTTCTTTTTTGTTCACTTGTTATCTTGATTTTTCAACATATTTTTTGAAATGTGTTGCCTTTTATATCAGTATGTTTGTGTTTAAGCATATTTAAGTCAGGTTGGATTGTCATGCTAAAGGTTTTTCTGCTTCATAGTTGGAGGCTGAGGAAGAATGCTTTAATTTTCATGGTCTATTTTCTTCTACTGCTGCTATTTATTAATATTGCCTTGTGTTCAGTGCCTTTCTAAATATTTCATATTTTTCGGCACCAGTATTAAAAGGAATGGTGTGAGATCGGGGTTTAATAGTTTTCTAACATTCAGAGGCGTGGTTTTCTGTTGGTTAAGTGAAGTGCAGTCACTATACCAAATGGACCCCTTTTATGGTTAGGGGAGGATTTATTCTTTCACAGGTATGTGGTTCCTTACTGTGGTTTCCTTCTTTTTTTCTGCTAAACACTAAGCGTCCCAGGATCATATTCTCCTGAAATGTTTTCATCTCTCCCTCAAAAGATTTCCTTGTCGCCAGTGGTCTTATTCATGTTTCAGACTTGTTTTCAGTATTCTTAAATTTGCATACATGTCACGCTTTCTTGGGTGAGAAAGATTTATTCTGTGTTCCATCATTGATGGATGCCCTCTTCCTCTCCACTGTCTCCTACCAGTCTTCATCTACCTTTCTGTTTTGGTGATCACTCAAGACTGCTGGGTTTGATGTTTACTTTCTACTTATATGTGTATCGAAGTTTGTGTTGTTATTATTTTGTCTCCTACTTATGCTTTGAGCTTAGGTTATAAGTAGTTTTATTTGCTCCCCTGTTTGATATCTATAGGTGGATATGTATGAATGGAATATGGGGAATATGTGTGATGAGATTGACATTTAATAGGTATTTTTTATCACAGAGAAAACTGGAGATACATCTCCCCCAACCTACCCCACCAATACTTACCTTTATAAATAGAAAACTAGTTGGACTATGTATTTATATGATGGGATTTAATTATAAATATGTAGTTTTTCTATAAGATTTCTGAGAAAATTAACATCAATGTAAAAGCAGAAATAAAATAGATGAGTGCTAGAACTAAGAGAACCACATTATTACAGTTCTTTCAGAAAATTTCTAATATATAAACCTCAGAATTAAAGAAATCCTAGTGGGCACACTCACCATTCTCCTGCCAGTGAAACTACAATTTACATTTAAATAAAGAAAATTAACTGGATGATAAAAGAGTTCTACTAATATACACTGGAGAGCCCAGAGCCCTCCAAAAATTAGAATGATCAAAAGAAAATCAGTGTATTTGCAAGCATATTTGTAATTAACATAGATGTTTTAAAAAGTGGAGTTGGGAGCTGATGACTCTGAAGAAGCAGAAAACCAATTATCTGAAATAAATTCACAGCAATAACAACAAAGACATTGAAAGATGTTCTAATTCAGGTTTTCAACTAAGACTTGCATGTATAAAATTTGATCAGTCATTTTTAAAAATAAATAAGCCAGGTCAAGAAAACTATTATGAATATAAAAAGAAAATTACTAAATCAAGAAAACACAAAAAGATATTAATAACACTTTAAACTTATGATTATAACCTCACATGGACCCCCTAATAATGCCCAGCAATTATATGACTTTTCTCTAGTGTGTTATATTTAGTCCTCTTCCAACTCTTAAGTGATTGATACAGTTTTCCCACATCATTGAAATTAAAAAAATGAAACCATCGGCTGGGCACAGTGGCTCATGCCTGTAATCCTAGCACTTTGGGAAACCAAGGCAGGTGGATCACCTGAAGTCATGAGTTGAAACCAGCCTGGCCAACATGGTGAAACCCCATCTCTACTAAAAATACAAAAATTAGCTGGGCGTGGTGGTGCACACCTGTAATCCCTGCTACCCAGGAGGATGAGGCAGGAGAATCACTGGAACCCGGGAGGCAGAGGCTGCAGTGAGCCGAGATCTCACCACTGCACTGTAGCCTGGGCAACAGAGAGAGACTCCATCTCAAAAACAAACAAAAAACAAACAAACAACAAACAAAAAAACCCCGAAACCATCACACTTGAGTTCTAAGGTCTCTCCTCCAACCAAACCTAAAATCTGCATGGATTTTCACAGAGGAAGAATCTCTACTCTATGACAGGCAACTCTTTGAGAAGTAATATCCCAACTCATCTCATCTTCACACACAACTTACTCTCTTTATTTCCTCTCCCTTCTGGTGTAGTCAACTTTCAATATTTTGTTTATGATTATTGCATCTGTTTTTCTAGGTTTTGATTCCTGAGTTTTACTTACCAATTTGTCATCAGATTTATGTTAGTTTCTCTTGTTGAATTGTGGAGTTATATAGTCTAGAAAAAAAAGTTATTTAAAAAGGAAATTATCAGAATTTGGAAAAACATAGGTAGAATTCACCCATCTCAACACACACACACACACACACACACACACACACACACACACACTGTGCTTGATCATGATAATGATGGTGATAATTATAACTTTTACTTTCTTTTAATGTTTTTCACTACAGCTTTTGATATATTAGGTTTTCAGTTTTTCTAATTTTTAAGAGTAAAATTTAGTAGTTTATATTTATTCTAGAAAAATCATCCACTTCAACCAGTTTCAAATTTTCAAAATTGAAGTGTTGATTCTAAATTTTAAGTATCTTGTTTTGTGTAAATGTATCTTTTTCCTTGTTTTAATACATTCACATTTTTCTGATTATTGATACAGTTGGACTTATGCCTACAATCTTAATAAATTTTCTCTTTATCACGCTCTGCATTTTTCTTTTTTGTATCTTTTTTGCCTTTGATTTAATTAATTATACTTTGTTAAATCAAGTTTATAAATGCAGTTTTTTTTTTTTGACAGGGTCTCACTGTCACCCTGAGTGACACTGTCTCACTGAAATGTAGTGGTGTAATCACTGCTCACTGCAGTCTCAACCTCCCAGGCTCAAGCAATCTTTCCACCTCAGCCTCAAGCAGTCTTTCCACCTCAGCCTCTTGGGTAGCTGGGATGACAGGTGCATGCCTTTATGCCAGGCTAATTTTTGTATCTTTTGTAGAGACAAGAGTTTTGTCATGTTGCCCAGGCTGGCCTCAAACTCCTGGGCTTAAGCCATCCACCCTCAGCCTCCCAAGGTGCTGAAATTACAAGCATGAGTCATCACACACCTAGTAAACACAAGTATTTTTAGTAAGTATTTACTTCCTATTTGTGTTATTCTTGACCATATTTAGATATGCATATATTAATAGTTATAAGTAGATATTTATATTCAGCATCAAAATTATTCCCCTGAAAAGGGGAAGAATGAGAACATGTTTACATTTCCCTTGTTCTTTGACATTTATATTACCTGAGATTTGAAATTTTATATGCAAAATTTTACTTCTATATTTCATTGTTATTTCAACCTAATGTCATGTTTAGCTTCATTGTTTGCCCGCTGTTATTTTTATACTCCTTCCCCCACCATGCTTTTAGTAATACTTTTGGAAGGATCACTATGGGTCTTTTCTCCTTTCTTTTAGAATGGCATTTTTGCTGGACACTGGAGATCAGACTATTCTTTGTTAAATCAGAAGAATTGTTCAACTACCCATCCTTTTATCATCAATGTTTAGTACTTTTCCTGGCACTAGAGGTTCCCTCGCAAATGTTTGTTGAAAGGATTATTTGATGTTTCTGGAAGACCAGATGTTGGACTACCAGGATGCATCAAATGAATGCCACGCTTAGGATCTTCCCAAGTGGAACTCTGACCTTTGAAAGGTGACACCAATCAGCATTATCCTTTGAAGTCAGACTTGTTTAAATATATCTATTTCCATATATCTATAGCTACATCTATACATTAGGGAATAGGAAATATGAAGCTGTCTAAAGGGAAAAGTTCAGAGAAATAGGGAAAGCAGTACTTTGATATAATGAGGAGGAAGAAACTAGGGACTTGCCGGAGTTTTAATTTGTCTATTTGATGAATAACCCTGTGAAAACATAAATTGACTGAAAGTGAAGAATAGGCTATGCATAGGATGAAGCAAGAAAATGAGGATCAGGATGAAGAAGACAAGCACTGATAATTTTATACAAATGAGATTAGCATTTATTTATATTTTTCACTTTTCCACTTAGTTATTAACTTTGTAACACTTCTCATTTTCTTTATTATATAAATCATATGGTAAAGGGAAAGAAATGAATTTAATAGAGAACTATGTTAGGGTGAAATTTAGATTTCCATTCTACAAAATGAAATTTTAATATATGTAAAGTTATTTTAAGAAAGGGAGGAGATAACTCATTCTATGAGGCCAGCATCATCCTGATATAAAAACCTCGCAGATATACAATGAAAAAGAAAATTTGAGACCAATATCCTTGATGAACATCGAGGCAAAAATCGTCAGCAAAATAATGGCAAACTGAAGCCAGCAGCACATCAAAAAGCTTATCCACCATGATCAAGTATGCTTCATCTCTGGGTTGCAAGTTGGTCCAACATTGCAAATCAATAAATGTAATTCATCACATAAACAGAACTAAAGGCAAAAACCACATGATTATCTCAATAGATGCAGAAAAGGCTTTTGATAAAATTCAATATCCATTCATCTTAAAAACTCCCAATAAACTAGGTATTGAAGGAACATACCTCAAAATAATAAGAGCCGTATATCACAAACCCACAGCCAACATCATACTGAATGGGTAAAATCTGGAAGCATTCCTTCCCAAACCCGCACAAGATAAGGATGCAATCTCTCACCACTCCTATTCAAAATAGTTTTGGGTGTTCTGATCAGGGCAATCAGGCAAAAGAAAAAATGAAGGGCATCCAAATGGCATGAGAGGAAGTAAAACTATTTCTGTTTGCAGATGACGTGATCTGATATCTAATAAACCTCATAGTCTCAGCCCCAAAGCTTCTTAAGCTTATAAACAACTTCAGCGAAATATCAGGATCAAAAAATTTTGCACAAAAATCAATGTGCAAAAATCACTAGCATTCCTATACATCAACAACAGTATAGTTGAGAGCCAAATCAGAAATGAACTACATTCTCAACTGACACAAAAAGAGTAAAATACCTAGAAATACAGCTAACTAGGGAGGTGAAAGATCTCTACAAGAAGAACTACAAATCACTGCTCAAATAAATCAGAGATGACAGAAACAAACGGAAAAACATTCCATGCTCATGGATAGGAAGAATCAATATCATTAAAATGGTTAGTTATGCAACCCAAAGCAATTTATTAATTCAATGCTATTTATATTAAACTATCATTGACATTCTTCACAGAATTGCAGAAAACTATTTTAAAATTTATGTGGAAGAAAAAAAGAGCCTGAATAGACAGGGCAATTCTAAGCAAAAAGAACAAAGCTGGAAGTATCACTCTACCTTGACTTTAAACTATCCTACAGGGCTCCAGTAACCAAAACAGCATGGTACTGGTACAAAAACAGACACATAGATCAATGGAACAGAATAGAGAACCCAGAAATAAGACCACACACTTACAATGATCTGACCTTTGACAAACCTGACAAAAACATGCAATGGAGAAAATATTCCGTATTCAATAAATGGTACTGGGATAAATGGCTAGCCATATGCAGAAAACAGAAGCTGGACCCCTTCCTTATATGATATACACAAATAACTCAATGTAAACGTAAAACCTAAAGCTGTAAAAACCTGGGAAGACAGCCCAGGCAATGCCATTCAGGACATAGGCATGGGCAAAGATATCATGATGAAGATGCCAAAAGCAATTGTTACAAAAGCAAAAATTGACAAATGGGATTTAATTAAAGAGCTTCTGCACAGCAAAATAAATTAACATAAGAGTAAACAGACAACATACGTAGTGGGAGACAATTTTTGCAATCTATTCATCTGACAAAGGTCTAATATCCAAAGTCTATGAGGAACTTATACAAATTTACAAGAAAAAAAACAAAAGCTACATAAAAACTTGGGCAAAGAAAATGAACAGACACTTTTTAAAAGAAGACATACATGTGGCCAATAATCTTATGAAAGAAAGCTCAACATCACTGATCATTAGAGAAATGCAAATCAAAGCCACAGTGAGATGCCATCTAACACCAGTCAGAATGACTATTATTAAAAAGTCAAGAAACAACATATGCTAGCAAGGTTGTGGAGAAAAGGATGGCTTATACATTGTTGGTGGAAGTATAAATAGTTCAATCATTGTGGAAGACAGTGTGGCAATCTCTCAAAAACTTAAAGACAGAAATACCATTCCACCTATTAATCCCACTACTTAGTATTTTCCCAAAGGAATATAAATCATTCTATCATAAAGACACATGCACAAATGTGTTCATTGCAACACTATTCACAATAGCAAAGACACAGAACCAACCTAGATGCTCATGAATGATAGACTGGATAAAGAAAATGTGGTACATATACACCATGGAATACTATGCAGCCATAAAAAAGAACAAGATCATGTTCTTTGTTCTTTGCAGGGATATAGATGGAGCTGGAGGCCGTTATCCTCAGCAAACTAACACAGGAACAGAAAACCGAATACCATATGTTCTCACTTATAAGTGGGAGATAAATGATGAGAACACACAGACACATAGAGGGGAACAACACATACTAGGGCCTCTTGGAGGGTGGAGGGTGGAGGGTGGAAGGAAGGAGACTAACAGAAAAAATAACTAATGGGTATTAGGCTTAATGCCTGGGTAACAAAATAATCTCTAACAAACCTCCATGACACAAGTTTACCTATGTAACAAACCTGCACTTACACCTCTGAACGTAAAATAAAAGTTAAAAAAAAATTGGAGGAGAAACTAGAAAGATTGGGACAAGTGCAACATACAGAAACCATTAAATTTCAATGGAAATTTGATTTTTATGATAAATGTACAGTTAAATATTTAAGGAAAGAGAGGCATCTTACTGTAGTAAGAAAGAAATCACTTGAAAAATACAACTTGTTGAAAATGGCAAGGATAATAAAACAACTTACCCCAAAACAAAAAAAGTTCAAAAAATGAAGGTAATACAAATAGCAAGTTATTCAGGAAGGACTTCACTAAGAACTTAGAAGTAAAATGTACAACTCCAAAAATGTCAGTAGAAACAAAACTTTCAGTGATTCACAGACTTAGTGTGAGAATAATTTTGCAGACTGGTCACAAAACAGCATTTCTCTTGGTATTTTATGTGAGGTAAGACAGAATTGAAAGTAAAATTATAGGCCAGTTATGGTGGCTCATGCCTGTAATTCCAACACTTTGGGAGGCCAAGGTGGGTGGATCACTTGAGTGCAAGAGTTTGAGACCAGCCTGCGCAACACAGGGAAAACCCATCTCTACTAAAAATACAAAATATTAGCTGGGCAAAGTATCATGTGCCTACAATTCCAGTTACTTAGAAGGCTGATGTGGGAGAATCACTTGAACCTGGAGGCAGATCTCAGTGAGCTGAGATCAACCCAGGCACTTCAGCCCGGGCAACACAATGAGACTGTCTCAAAAAAACAAAATGAATAAAAAAGTAAAATTATAAAGGGATTTGGAGTCATGGTGTAGCTGTATGTATAACTGATAACGAAAACAATATTTTAAAAGTTGTATGTGCTGAACAACATAGCCACAGATATTAAAGCAGAAAAGATTAAAAATTCAAAGAAAATTGGATAAAAATGATGTAAGCACAGTAATACTTAATGACATTAATGAGATTCATGTAAGATAAAGTAGAATTATGGCTACTTAACACATTTTCTGTTCCACAGAGTAACTTCTTTTTGAGTTTACATAAAATGTTCAGAGAAATTTCTCATATTCTATGATACAACAAATTTTATCATTTTCAAAATTTGGAACAATTACAGCATACATTCTCTGAATAAAATACAGTTAATTTTTAAAATAAGAGATTTAAACTCTCATCATGTGGATGATTAAATATAGTTCAGTTGAACAAACTTTAAGTATGTACAGCATACTAGAAACTGTGATAGGTGCTGGAGATTCAAAGATTGACAAATAAGTATTTAAAGATAAATTCATGAGAAAGAAATTCATTTTACATAAAGACAATTGACTGGTGTGAATCACTTTGAAGTGTTCAGATATAATGCTATAATAGAAAATTGAGGCTGGGTGCAGTGACTCTTGCCTGTAATCCTATCACATTGGGAGGCTGAGGCAGGCAGATTACTTGAGGCCAGGAGTTCCAGACCAGGCTTGCCAACATGGTGAAACCCCGTCTCTACTAAAAGTAGAGAAATTAGCTGGGCACGGTGGTGCATGCCTGTAATCCCAGCTATTTGAGAGGCTGAGGCAAGAGAACTGCTTGAACCCGGGAGGCGGAGGTTGCAGTGAGCCAAGATTGTATCACTCCACTCCAGCCTGGACAACTGTGGGAGACTCTGTCTCAAAAAAAGAAAATTGAGGTGCAGTTAGAATAGAAGGCAGCATGCTAAGTAGCTAAAAAACAATGCCAACACTAGCCTATGCCTTTGGTAGCCTAAGAGGCACACGTCATTTTCTGCTGTAAACATTTCTGAAATTTCTCCCGTGTAATACAGTATAGCTACTCTGTATGCATCTTAGAAAACACTCTTAGACTCTGCAAAGACAGGCAATCCATGTCCTCCATCTCTGAGTGATAGGCATTCTTCCTCTGCTTCTACTGCAGCCGTGACAATATTTTTAAACTGATAGACTAAGAATGAAACATGGCTGGGTGTGGTGGCTCATGCCTGTAATCCCAGCATTTTGGGAAGTCAAGGTGGGTGGATCACCTTAGGTCAGGAGTTCGAGACCAGCTTGGCCAACATAGTGAAACCCCATATCTACTAAAAATACTAAAATTAGCTGGGCATGGTGGCACATGCCTATAATCCCAGCTACCTGGGAGGCTGAGGCAGGAGAATCGCTTGAACCTGGGAGGTGGAGGTTGCAGTGAGCTGAGATTGTGCCATTGCACTCCAGCCTGGACAACAAGAGTGAGACTCTGTCTAAAAAAAAAAAAAAAAAAAGAAGAATAAAACATATTACATAGTTTTCATTCTTATCTTTAAATATTTAGTCATAAATATATGCATATTATCTATTAGGTTGGGGGCAAATGAATGAAGAAATAATAAGGCAACTAGTTAAAACAACTAGACATTTGAAAATTTCACCAAGGAGTGAAAAAATGTAAGGTTAGCCTACAATGCTTACTTCTGAAAGTATTTAGAGGCCATATTTGGTATTTATGATTACCATCCTGAAATATCTATTTGGTATTTATTTTGCATTTGTCTAGTACCTCCATTTTGAGGGCTCTGTGTTCATAGTGTAGAGTCAAATCTTCATGATTGAGAAATCTGAGTCTTTGTTTATCCTTAACACTGCACATGTACTTTCAAATAGTTTCCCGGGGTGCCATCCTACCTCTTTATTCTCCATTATGCTTCAGACACATGGTTTCATCTTGATTGTAGTGATAATCACTGAAAATCACTTTCCATTTACAAAAATTTTGTTGATTCTTATCAGCTATTATCTTCTCTCATTTTTTTTGTCTGTATGGAGTTATGCTCTCATACATTTTGGAGGTTTGGAAAAGGGGAAAGGACAATACATGTAGTCATCACTCCATGTGTAACATCTCATTCATTTCTCAACTCATCATAGGGATCCTGTCTTTCTCTATGAGTTTAACTTCTCCATGTATAGCATTGCTATTTGTCACATTTATTTTGCCATTAATTATCTCAGGTTATTGTTCTTTAAGAGCCAGGACCTGGTCCAGACATTTTTGATATATTCCAAGTTATCTTTGTTAATGCATTCTCTGTGCTGGGGTAACCAAACATTTTTCTGCAAACAACTAGATGGTAAATATATTAAGTTTGTGGGTATTACGTTTTCTGGTGCAACTACTCAACTCCAGTTACAGTGTGAAAGAAGCCATAGGTGAGAGATAAATGAATAGTCTATTTATATACAGTGAAATATTAATTCCATAAAATTTTTACATGGCATATGATATTTCCCTTTTATTTTTCAACAATTTTTAATTCGTGGATTGTACAAACACAGGCAGCAGACCAGATTTAACCGATGGGCCATAGTTTGCTGATTTCTACTCCATACAACTAGTAATTTTGAAATTCAAGTTTAACACTGGCTAAAATAGTGTTTTCTGGTAGGACTTCTGTAAATCATAATTTGCCGCATCCCTCTCAAGGTAGCCAGAAGAGAACATTTTGAATGCTGTCATCACAGATAAATAATAAATGTTTAAAATGATGGTGCTATTTTCTGACCCCTCCAGACCTCATGTTGAAATTTGATCCCCAATGATGAAGTTCCGTGGAACCTAATGAGAGATATTTGGAGGTATGGGGATGAATGCCTCAAGAATGGCTTGGTGCTTTCGTAAAAGTAATAAGTGAGTTCTTGCTCTGTTAGTAAAATAGTTAAAATGAGCTTGACACCTCCTCCACCACCCTTTCTCTCTCACCATTGGATCTCTGTAGAGGGTGGCTCTGGCTCTCCATCCCCTTCCACCAAGAGTGAAAGCAGCCTGTGGCCCTTGCCAGATGCAGATGTCCAATCTTAACATTTCCAGACATCAGACTTGGAAGTCAAATAAGCCTTTTTCCCTATAAATTACCAAGCCTCAGGTATTCCTTTATAGAAACACAAATGGACTGAGATGTATGGATACAGTAATTATCCTGATTTGATTGTTATGCTATGTACACATTCATTGAACATCATATTTGCCCCGTAAGTATGTACAATCACTATGCATCGAGTATAAATAAAAATTTATTTAAAATAATTTTGTACCTTAATTTCTAATTCATAAAATAATAATATCTAAGAATAGGAGTATTTGGGGGATTAAAACAATTAAGTCATGTTGTGTCTGGAATTGGTGGGTTCTTGGTCTCACTGACCTCAAGAATGAAGCCACGGACCCTCGCGGTGAGTGTTACAGTTCTTAAAGGCGGCATGTCCGGAGTTTGTTCCTTCTGATGTTCAGATGTGTTAGGAGTTCCTTCCTTCTGGTGGGTTTGTGGTCTCGCTGGCTCAGGAGTGAAGCTGCAGACCTTTGCGGTGAGTGTTATAGCTCTTAAGGCGGTGCATCTGGAGTTATTCGTTCCTCCCGGTGGGTGGGTTCATGGTCTCGCTGGCTTCAGGAGTGAAGCTGCAGACCTTCGCGGTGAGTGTTACAGCTCATAAAGGCAGTGTGGACCCAAAGAGTGAGCAGCAGCAAGATTTATTGCAAAGAGTGAAAGAACAAAGCTTCCACAGTATGGAAGGGGACCCCGAAAGAACAAAGCTTCCACAGTGTGGAAGGGGACCCCAGCGGGCTGCCACTGCTGGCTCAGGCAGCCTGCTTTTATTCTCTTATCTGGCCCCACCCACATCCTGCTGATTGGTCCATTTTACGGAGAGCCGATTGGTCCACTTTACAGAGAGCTGATTGGTCTGTTTTGACAGGGTTCTGATTGGTGCATTTACAATCCCTGAGCTAGACACAAAAGTTCTCCACCTCCCCACTAGATTAGCTAGGTAAGCACTCAATAATCGTTAGCCATGCTCATTGCTGTTGTTACCTTGACTCAATAATTTGGCATGGAAGGTAAAAGAATTTGAAGTTAAAATTATTAGTAACTTCAGCATCTCCAAATTTCTAGATTTTACAGATGTGAGAGAAACAAGGAACACTGAGAAGTGCTAGGTACATCACGGTCCATTATTTTAACTCTCATGTCTTTGTCTCCTTACTGTACTGAGAATATTTGAGGATTACACTTGTTTTAGTTTTGATACACATTGTGTTTGTTATTGGTTTTTTATAATAAGTTTTAATAATTATTACCACCAATGAAATCTTATTAAATAACCCACATAACACTGATGTTTTAAAATAATATACATAAAAATATCACCAAGATTAATATTTTTTAATTTTTAGTGTTTTGTAGGGATGGGGTCTTGCTATATATTGCCCAGGCTTGACTCAAATTGCTGGGCTCAAGTGAGCTTCAGTCTTCTGAGTAGCTGGGGCTACAGGTGAGCCCTACCTAACTGGGATGAATTTCTATTTAAAAATAAAAGGCAATAAAATTATTTTGTATGTTAGTAATGTAATTAGTGATATATGAATAGTTCCATTTATATATATTCTCTAAATGAAAATACATTGACCAAGAAAACAAATGTTTATACAAAATTAAAAAATATCAAGTTTGCATAAGAACTTAATTTAAGGCTGGGTGCGGTAGCTCATGCCTGTAATTCCAGCACTTTGGGAGGCCGAGGCGGGTGGATCACCTGAAGTCAGGAATTCAAGACCAGCCTGGCCAACATGGTGAAACCCCATCTCTACTAAAAATACAAAAATTAGCCAGGCATGATGGCAGGCACCTGTAATCCCAGCTACTCAGGAGGCTGAGGCAGGAGAATCGCTTGAACCCGGGAGGCGGAGGTTGCAGTGAGCCGAGATCGCGCCATTGCACTCCAGCCTGGGGGACAAAAAAAAAGTTAAAAAAATTAATTTAATTTTTAAAACATTTTATTACACATGGAAAGTGACCAGATACTTGAAATAAATAAACATTTTTTAAAAGTTAAGAAATTATTAATTTCTTATATTTTCTCTGTAATAACTGCACTCTCAGTGATGATAGCTTTTTTTAATCTTGACTACAGAAGCTATAATCTCTATAATTTTTTTCTACAGTATTTTAAAATAACTAAACTTTAAATAATTATTGAGCATTTGTTTTATACTGGGTGATTAGCATAGTTTTTTGTAATTTCTTTTATTTTTTCTTTTATTTTTTTTTGAGACAGAGTCTCACTGCTGGAGTGCAATGGCACGATCTTGGCTCACTGCAATCTCCACCTCCCAGGTTCAAGCCATTCTCCTGCCTCGGCCTTCCGAGTAGCTGGGATTACAGGCACGTGCCATCACACCCAGTTAATTTTTGTATTTTTAGTAGAGACGGGGTTTCACCATGGTGGCCAGGATGGTCTCGATCTCCTGACCAGTGTAGCTTATTTGTATTTTAATAATGTTCATTAAATTTTCTTAAGTAGAGAATTTTTAAAAAGTACTGCAGTTGACTGGGTAGGTCTTAAAGAGTAGTATTCAGAACTCAGCTATCTTACAAATCATCTTAATCAAATACATATATATTTAGCTTAACATTAACTCAGGCTATGTTTAAATACTTGTGAAGATGACTCAATTTTAAATTACCTCACAAAACTTTGAGATTACATCATCATTAAACAAAAGCATTTATTCATCTTCTCTGTTCTCTCTACCAGTTAATGAATACTTTTCCATCCAAGGAATTCATTAAAAACCAAATGTAATAACAATCCTAATCTCAACACGATATGCCAGTATTTAATTTTAAATAATGTATGAATAAAATTTTAAAATATGTTTTCTCTATTAAAGATTTATTTTTTCTATTATAAAATTGCTAACCAAATGTCTTCTTAAATCTCAGCTTTACCATTAGATAAATACATCTTTAGATATATTTTAGATATATGTTTCTTGTATGACTTTAAAATTTTCCATGAAATAGTTTTTTAAGATATTACAAATTAATGATAATACTCTTTAGCAAATGTATATTAATATCTGTATTCAAGACCAAAAAGATATGTAGAAGGGGTAGGGAGAGAGAGAAAGAGGAAGAGAGAGAGACAGAGAGACAGATAGAGGCAGAGAAAGAGAGAGAGAGAGAGCCAGCAATGTATGGGAAGGAGAAAGTAAGGGCAATAAATGAAATGGCAGAGTCTAAAGAAGCTAAGTTTGCACTTTTACCCAAAGCGGTTCTAAAGTAAACATGTGTAAGGCTTGCAATGTGAGAGTGGGCAAGAGAATATCAGCTTAAAATTCAGGCCTTAAATTCATTAAAATGGAAATATTTGTCATTTTCTACCTGACCAGGTATTTATTGACATAGTTTGACATGGAACTTAATCATGTGTGAACATTTAACTTGCATCTAGCATACTCATCATTATAATTTAATGGTTTAATAGTATTAAAACAAAACCAAACATAAGGAAACTCACCCACTGTATCTTAGACATTACATGTGGTCGTTGCAACATTGCCTTAAAATACAATTCATGATCTCTCCCATCACCCATTGAGTCTGAGCTAAATAAAGATCGCTATTTTCAATTCAAAAGCACCATTAAAATAAAAACATAATTAGCATTCAAAACTTGGTTTGTGTCAGGAGTAATTAGTTAAATAATGTAGCATTCGTTGCAACATCGTACTTAATACACAATTAAAATTATCAGGCATTCTCTTCTGCAGTAAAACAGCAGAAATCTAACCCACAAGATTATTTTGGAGGGGGAAAATGCAGAAGTAACTCATTTTTCATAAATAAATAATTTCTTTTAATCTATTTCATTTCTCCCTATTCCTAACATTCCTCCACAGCTACCCCCATTTCTAATGGGAGGATGGTTTGCTAAAAGGCTAATTCTTGAGGTGAACTACATAGTATAAAAATTATTTTGAAATTGCACCTTGCCTGGCTTTATATTTGCATTTTTATCAAATATTTATTGTTCTTCCTTCGTCTGAAAAGCACTATTTAGTGTGCATAATTTGTATATATTCCTATTTTCTTCATGATTACATATATAAGTTCTTTTCCCTAGGAATGAATGCACTCAATCATGAAAAATCTTCATCTTCAAAGTTCCTGAAGCACATTTTCTAGGATTTCATATCTTTAAATACATTTAATTCATTTCCATATTTATCATGAAAAGACAGTGCATATATATGCACAATTTCACAATATAAACAAATAATATACTTATTTTTTCTGAATTCTGCCTTTAATTTGGCAAAAGGATATCAATATGGAAAAGACTCTTCACATGTAAGTTCTAAATAATCAAATAGATATTATTTTTCTATTCCCACAATGCAGATATTTAGGAAGACATACCAGTTTAGGAAAATGATACTATAAACAGACTGTTTTCATAAATTTTAAGATAGGTTTTTTGAAGTTCTGAATTGATCCAACATACAATAACTACCCTTTTGAGAGTGATCCACTGTGACAGCAATAACTCTTTCATTGGTGACCAGCTCTGGCGTATGTAGATAATTTTCCATTCACATGTAAAGTATTTATTTAAATTTATTTATGTAGCAAAAAGCTGGTTTCGGTCATTGAAATGATGTTTCTGTCTGTGGCTAAGCCTCATGCTAACTTTCAGACTTTCACAGGAATAAAATCATAAGGATCTGGGGAATACATTCAGGAAACTGAGTCACACACCTTCCACATTTTTTTCACTACTTAGTGGTCATTTTATTCCTAAGAATGGCTTTGTTGACTGAATATATTTTTAAACAATGAAGATTTGTTTTCCCACCAAAGAATACAATTAATAAAATATGTAAAATTAATCCATATTCTTTTTGGAAATTTGTGTTACCTTAGTGTCTTCTTACGATGGGAAACTATTAGGAATACTCTTAAACAGCACTTTGTTAATAGAAGTTGTGCAGGGACAGATTGCTTATGCCAGAAATAAACTCCTTAATACATTCCTCAAAGATGGAGCACAAATTAATACTCTTTAGGTTTCTTTTCAATTTTTTTGTGCCATTTTGAACAGTTTTGTAGGAAAGGTTTCTGAGGACTAAAAACACCTGCTTTAGTAAACAGTAGTTTTGCAGACACATGGATTCCAATTCCTTTACTTGTAAGGAAATGCCATCTCACCCTATAGGATCAGGAGAGTTAAAGAGACAAAGTTCTTACCCAATTGGCACACTGTGCACACATGCACACACTCACACACATATGCACAAACAACAGTAGTATGTTTGCATTGTAAAATAAATAAAATAATAAGAAAAATAAAAACAAGAAATTGAATCTTCACACGTCCCCTACCCAAAATTAACCACAGTTGACATTTTAGTTTACAAAGAAGTAAATGAGTCCAGCATACTATGATGTCATGGAGCAAGTATGTAAAGTATGACATTAATGTTATAGCACCTCCCTTGGCAACTGATACTTGAGTAAGTATTCTATGCTGCGTGAGTCTTTAAAACTGTAGATAACCCAATCAAGCAGTCAATTTAACTAAAAAGAAGCACAATCAAATTAATACCTTTGGGTTGTATTAGGCAAAATATGAAAAGGATTAGATCCAGTGAGAGTACAGTTGAAACAAGTCAACTTGTTTAGAGTACAGTTAGTACAGTTGACTTGTTTCAACTGTACTCTCCTGGACATGTCTTCCCTTATTGGGATTATTTTCCTTAACTTGAAATGAACTTTCTCAAATAATCTTAATGATAAAATGATTTCAATTACAATGGTAAATAATTTGGATCTGAAGATCCTAATCTGTTTAAATGAATCTATTGACTAAGCACCTAGTAATAATGACTTTTATGGAGCAGATTTAAAGTAAGAAAGAAAAAGCTCTCAAATGAATAGCAATACAATTTATGACCTTTCAGAAATCCCTAGACTCACTAACTCTCTTGAGCAGCTCCTGGGCTATCACAGACAACGTATTTTAATGCACTCGCCAAAAAAAGGTCATTGAAAATGGAAAAGCACATTCAATTGCACGTGTCCTTATGCTAATTTATAAATTCAGTGACTTTCTCTTGAAAAATTAAGGTAGAAAAAAATTGCAAAGGTCAAATATATTAAAAATTTTGTAAAAAGACTCATAATTAGATTCTTAGATTAGTATCTGAGTGGGTGCAACAATAACAAAACAGTCAAAGGAAAATTAGCATTCCTTTGATTAGCCAGAAATGGCACTTGGACAAAGAGTCATCACACTACAGTTTATGCTTATATTTCCATCACTTTAAGCTGTTTTCTCCCAATCTTTGATATTCTACTAATTTGGAACATCTCAAGGATGCTTTTAAAAACATACAATTGAAAAGTACTTCTGGTGCAATGTTTTATTTTACACATGAAGCAATAAAGATGCATTAGATGAAATTACCTTCACAGGGCCACAATAATTCTTAGTCATAAAGGCAGAACAAGTACATGACTTCTGAAATCAAGTTCACTGATATTTTTTGCTATGTGATTTTTGTCACCTATGGATACAAATTATATTCCTTAGCTTGGAGATACTGCCATTTAGTTATATAACTTCAACAAAATCTTGGCAGGGAGGTGATGCAGAGAAATATTTTGTAAACCAAGTCTAGAAAAATTGCTTCTGTAAATTTAAGGCTGTTTTTTTCTTACAGAATTTAACCATGTTGAGCCCCAGATTTTCAGCCAAACAAAAATATATTATTTCTAAGACCTTCTTAAAGTATAAAATTATAGGATTCATGTCATCTTCTGGTGTTAGCTGAAAGAGGTCATGGATGCTTTTGGAGGTGAACTTATCATTCACTATCTATATGCCTCTGATAAACCAAGTTTATTCATTCCTGAGAGTACTCTCAGACAAAGCATAAAGTTTTCTATAATGTTCTGTGAAGCAATATTATTATGGTACAGTTTATTCACGGAATAAAATTTAACTCTGAAAGAAAACCTTCAGATTTAGATGATTTAGTATGTGTCAGACTGAAAAGTCTGTCACTAGGATTATAGGCAAATAATCATATTTTTAATGAGGAATCATAGCATTTAGAGACACACCGAAATGCTTTTATATAAAACATTTAAAACTGCAATGGATTTGTGCCAAATCATTAAAAAATATAAAGTATGCTTAGTATTTCATTTATTTCCATGAAATTCTAAAGTATCCATAGAGTCATTATTTAAGCATCCTGAAACTTAATTTATCTGTATAAAATCAAGAGAGTGATCATGAAGTAAAACCATTTTGCAAGGCATTTATTCTTACCTGGGAATCTGGGATTGGAACTTAGAGGCTTACAGAAAATTTCAATTTATCTCTACACCTTACATATGTAAACTCCAATTCTGCTGGATACCTTTAGTCCACCATTTTGTGAGAAGTACAGAAAGCTGGGGTGGAGAGTGTTGAGGAAGTATAAGTAAAAACAAAATATCTGCCAACCCAGAAAACCTCTGTGCAAAAGTAGCAAAGAAAGAAAACAGTTTTATTACTGAATAAGCATTAAACCAGAATGTGATGCACATCATTGGAAATCTGCTAAAGAGGTTCCAAAGACAGAAGGAAATCTTACTGTTTCACATAGTCAAGCATATACAACCCATTGCGTACATTTCTTAAGATAAACAATAACTAGTCCTCAAATAAGAGGACTTGACAGCATCATTTTTCACACATAGTTCATCCTCAATTCACTTGCTAATTAGGATAACTACCTGTGTTTGCTAATTTCTTGTATCTAAAGGAAGAATAAATTTATTATGTCTATGAAAGAAGATGGGTTTGCAGCTTGAAATCAGGCACCACCTGAAACTAGGCTCTTGTCCTCTCACGCAAATTGGGAGATAGGGGTACTACATTTCTTGATGACTGTAGTTCAAAGAAATAGTTCCTGAGTCCTGGAAAAACACATCCCTACTTTGTAAAGCTCACAAGATGCTTACTTAGCTTTTTAAAATATTTACAGGTGTCTCAGATGGGTAGAGGAAGAATATATACAATTACTGATTTTCTAAAACAAGCACTCTAAGAAATGAGGGGAGAGTCTCTTTCACTCTTTTTTAATCTGAGAATATTAAAATATATTTTTCTTGTTCAATATATATTTGTCCTTACATGAGGGTTAAGTTATCGTAAGTGCATGTCTTTCATATAATATTTTACATAATACTTTGTTGAATTATACCTTCTTGATTCTAAACTAAAAGATACTTGACTTACATTTGTAAATATATTTGCTATAAATTCAGTAATGCTTTAATCTACTTCCAATGCATCATTTGTTGTCTAAATGTAGCTTTATAATTAGCCCTCTTTTAGAAATGTGTTTGTGTGTCTCTGTGTATAAAGGAAAAAAGTAATCTGCATCTCTTTCCCCCTAACACAGTCATGGCCCATCTAGTGGCTGGGTACCTGACACAGGAAATCCTTCCACTTTTAGGGTGGTCTTGATTGATGGATATTATAAAACAAAGAAAAAAAAAACAGTGGCTTGAAAGTTCTAGTAATTAATATGGGGCTCTAATACCACAATAGCACTTTCTATTAAAATCAACATATTACTATTTCATTATGAGACAGATTTTCTTTTATGGGTTTAAAATATAATCTGGAGAGAATGTGAAAGGACTTTAATTTACTTATTTATTTATTTATTTATTTATTTATTTATTTATTATACTTTAAGTTCTAGGGTACACGTGCACAGCATGCAGGTTTGTTACATATGTATACATGTGCCATGTTGGTGTGCTGCACCCATTAACTCGTCATTTACATTAGGTATATCTCCTAATGCTATCCCTCCCCCCTCCCCCCACCCCACAACAGGCCTCGGTGTATGATGTTCCCCTTCCTGTGTCCAAGTGTTTGCATTGTTCAGTTGCCACCTATGAGTGAAAACATGCGGTGTTTGGTTTTCTGTCCTTGCGATAGTTTGCTGAGAATGATGGTTTCCAGCTTCATCCATGACCCTAGAAAGGACATGAATTCATCCTTTTTATGGCTGCATAGTATTCCATGGTGTATATGTGCCAAAATTTTCTTAATCCAGTCTATCATTGTTGGACATTTGGGTTGGTTCCAAGTCTTTGCTATTGTGAATAGTGCTGCAATATACATACATGTGCATGTGTCTTTATAGCAGCATGATTTATAATCCTTTGGGTATATGCCCAGTAATGGGATGGCTGGGTCAAATGGTATTTCTAGTTCTAGATCCCTGAGGAATCGCCACACTGTCTTCCACAGTGGTTGAACTAGTTTACAGTCCCACCAACAGTGTAAAAGTGTTCCTATTTCTCCACATCCTCTCCAGCGCCTGTTGTTTCCTGACTTTTTAATGATTGCCATTCTAACTGGTGTGAGATGGTATCTCATTGTGGTTTTGATTTGCATTTCTCTGATGGCCAGTGATGATGAGCATTTTTTCATGTGTCTGTTGGCTGCAAAAATGTCTGCTTTTGAGAAGTGTCTGCTCATATCCTTCACCCACTTGTTGATGGGTTTATTTGTTTTTTACTTGTAAATTTGTTTGAGTTCTTTGTAGATTCTGGATATTAGCCCTTTGTCAGATGAGTAGATTGCGAAAATTTTCTCCCATTTTGTAGGTTGCCTGTTCACTCTGATGGTAGTTTCTTTTGCTGTGCAGAAGCTCTTTAGTTTAATTAGATCCCATTTGTCAATTTTGGCTTTTGTTGCCATTGCTTTTGGTGTTTTAGACATGAAGTCCTTGCCCATGCCTATGTCCTGAATGGTATTGCCTAGATTTTCTTCTAAGGTTTTTATGGTTTTAGGTCTAACATTTAAGTCTTTAATCCATCTTGAATTAATTTTTGTATAAGGTGTAAGGAAGGGATCCAGTTTCAGCTTTCTACATATGGCTAGCCAGTTTTCCCAGCACCATTTATTAAATAGGGAATCTGTTCCCCATTTCTTGTTTTTGTCAGGTTTGTCAAAGATCAGATGGTTGTAGATGTGTGGTATTATTTCTGAGAGCTCTGTTCTGTTCCATTGGTCTATATCTCTGTTTTGGTACCAGTACCATGCTGTTTTGGTTACTGTAGCCTTGTAGTATAGTTTGAAGTTAGGTAGCATGATGCCTCCAGCTGAGGACTTTTTTTTACTTTTTTTAGAATCGCATTAAAAAGTTAAAATTAAAATTCGAGTAAACATTCTGATTGAAGTTAAAGAAATATGTCTGTGTAAATCCTTGTATTTGTTAAAAAATAAAATGGCATATTAAGCAAAAAATATGTAAATATTAAATAGGTATCAGTTCTAAATGTATAATCATGTCTGGGAGAAAAAAAGGGCATTTTATTCTTTTAAAAGGCAAGTTCTAGGTCACATTTTTAAAAGCACAAGAATTAAGTTGAGTTCATGGGAGAGAAAGATTTGAAGGAATACAACCAGGAAATTGAAGGGCGAAGGGGAAAGCAAAAAAAAGATAACCATTTCTTCTTCTCCTCTTCCTCCTGCTCCTCCTCCTTCTGTAATATTCACACAGTGAAATAAATGCACAGAGTTTAATTATACAGTTTTTATAAGTTTTTACAAATCTAAACACATGTGTCATCCAGAAGTATATTAAGATATGAAACATTTAACTTAAGAAAGTAATCTACCCCTTCACTGTTTACATCCCACTTTCTTGGAAGCAACCAGTGCTCTGATTTCTATCACCAAAGATTAGTTGTGTCTTTTCTAGAAGTTCATATAAATGTATCATATGGTATGTATTCTTTGATATGTTGCTTCTTGGATTAGCACATCTATGAAATTTCCATGATATATTTTATCACTTATGAATATCTCATTATTCTTTTCTTTATTCTTTTCTTTATTCTGTTTATTCTTTTCTTTATTCTGTTCATTGCTAAGTAATAATATGCTATTATTAGAATTTTCAACAATGTGTTTATACATTTTCCAATTGATGAACTATTTCCATTTTGAGTCTATGTTAATTAAACTGTTAGGAAGATTTTTGTCAAAAGTCTTTTTTGTGAACTGTATTTTATTTAATTTTCTAACTATAGATCTAGAAGTGAAATTGCTATATCACAAACACAGGTTAGTCATACCTTTAAATTTATGAATTACTGCCAAGCTGTTTTCCCAAGTGATTCCAACATTTTACACTCACAAGAAATGTACTTTGTTCCATATCACTGTTGGCATTTGGTCATGCCCGTCTTTACATTTTAGGCATTCTAGTATTCACACATATGGAATGGGTTTATAATAATATTGCTTTAGTTTTAATTTACATTTCTTTGATGCCTAAAAGTGTCAACACATGTTCTTTGTCATATATTTATACATATATTTAACATAGGACATATATATATATGAGATATGAGATATATGACATAGGACATATATATGAGATATATATTTTTAATATATGAGATATACATATATGAGATATAAATGAGATATGCATATATGTGAAATATATCTCATATAGGAGATATATATGTAATTGTACCTTCTTGACTCTAATCTGCTTTATATACCTCATATATATCTTATGTATATGAGACATTTATATCTCATATATATATTAATCTATATACATCTATGAGAGATACATAGCTCATATATTTTATACATACACACATACATATATATATGTGTGTGTGTGTGTGTGTGTATATAGGATATACCTCTTCTCTCTCAGAAGAAGCCAAATTTATCACTCTGTCAATTATTGTTCTTCTCTGAGACAGAAGAAGCCAAATTTATCGATTGCTTCTCATGTGAGTTTTCTTTTCTCTGTTCTGTAAAAGCTGTTTCTGTCTACCCTAGTTGTTTCTCCCTAGAAGCTTTATATGTTTGGTCCTTACATTTAATCTATAAACTATATAAAATTAATTTTTGTTCATAGTGTGAAGTGAAGGTAGAATGCTTTTCCCTGATTCAGTTTGTAGGTGTGTTGCTTAATACACATATTGGGAGATGTTTTGGGTATCTTATTTTTTATTGATTTCAAATTTAATTACATTTTTTCCTGAAAGAACATTTGCTATGTATTTCCGTTTTGAAAACATGTAATCAAGCTTAATTTATAGGCTGGCATATGAACTACCTTGATGAATCTTCTATGTACATTGGATTGGAAAAAATCTCTGTTTTGTCATGGCAGTTCTAATGATCTAATGTTCTATAAAGGTTGATACACACACAGACACCAGGTACTGATTTTTATAAAAATAATTGTTTTGTCAGTTACTAAGAGAATATATTACATCTCCCACGTTTTTGTGATTTAATTCTTCCTTTAGTTCTTTCAGTTTTTGTATTGTATAATTCAATTCTTTGTTATTACATTTATGTACATTTAGGACAGTTATGTTCTCTTGATTAGCTGGTTATTTTATGAATGCCTTTATCTATGGTAATTTTTTCTGCTCTAAAACACAAATGGTTGAAATTATTTAAAACTGTCATTTAAAAATCCGATTAGAGTTTTCACAGTATATCTTTTTCTTTACTTTATGTCTTACTATTTAGTGCTGTATTTATAGCTTATCTCTCAGAAACAGCATAGTTGAGTCTTGCTTTTTTATTTGACTTGTCAATATCTGCTGCATTTTTGGCGGTGGGAGAGTTTTAGTTTATTCGTATTTCAAATAATTATTGATACTGTTGGTTTAAGTATACAATCTATTTTTATTGTTCTATGTGTTCTTTAATTGTTTCATATTTTTGTCATCTTTTTATTAAATGAAGCATTTATTTTTATAATTCTATCTCATTTAATAACATTTTAGCCGACTGGTGTTTGGTTTATATTTTTATTGTTAGCTCAAAATATCAATAGTGTCCATTCTTAATTTTTCACCAAGTTAATATAGCATTTTTAGAAATTACAACAAAATTTAAGAAACTTAAAACAGCGTACGTTGATTTATTCTGCTTCCAACTTTTGTGCTATTATCACATATTTAACTTCAATGTATTTTATAAACTCCATAATATGTTGTCACTATTTTGCATTAAACAGCCATATATATTTTAAAATAAGTAAGAAAATAAAATGATCTTTTAGATATACAATGTCTAAAAGATATATTTCTTCTTATATATTGTATATTTTTAGATATTCAATATCTAAAATATACATTTGTTTTCATCATGTAGGCCTATGTTTCTATTTGATAGTATTTCCTCTTATTTTAAATAATGTTTAAAATATTGGGTAGGGAAGAATTTTTCTGGCAATGAGTCCTCTTATTTCTTGTTCTTTTTTTTTTTTTTTTTAAAGGTTATGATTTGACTCTGGAAAGTTTTTGTTCATTTTTAAAGCTTTATTTAGAAAGATAGGTTTGATAGTTATAAAATTTTAAATTGATATTTTTCTTCTTTCAGTACTTTAAAGTGCCATTCTATTTCTTTGCGGTTTGTTATTTTTTTCTGATGAGAAATTGACAGTTATTCTTTTTTTAGAAGAAAATCTAAGCACATTTTATTAAATAAATCAAAATTGCATTTAAAATGTTTTTACAAATAGATCATAAGGCTCAGATGCCTGCGTTTTAGGTACTTCCAAAGTTTTTAAAATTAAGTAATGTCCACCTTCTGAAACCTCAGAATATATATATACGTGTATATACACATATTTTTAATAAGAGCTTATTATACGCACATTGAAGAAAGACAATACTTTCCAACTCATTTCATGTGGCCAGCATGTATCTGATGTCAAAATCTGACAATAACCTGAAAAGAAGCAAAAATTTCAGACTAATCTCCCATTATTAACACAAATTCTACTTCAAACGATAGTAAATTGAATTTTATAATTTATATAAAATATGAACATTTGAGTTATTCCATGAGTGCTAGTTTGGTCCAACATCAAAAAATAATAATATGTAATACAATTCACTATATTATCAGCAGAAAACAAATGACGAAACCATTTCAACATACGTCATAAAGCTCTTTATCTATTTCACCATCTGTAATAGAAACTCTAGCAAACTAAGGAGGAAAGGAACTTGTTTATACTGATAAAGAGTTCCTACAAAAGATGTTATACTTAATGGCAAAAAATGGAATTTTATCCCTCTGAGATAGTGAATCATGCAAAGATAACTTGCTATCACCACTTCTACTTAATATTATACAAGAGAAACAGCAAGTACAGCAGGTTAAGTAATAAAAATTATAGGTAGACACGTGAAGCAGTTTTGAACCCAAATGTCATCCAGAAGATGACTTCAGCTGATTACAGCCAAGCCTAACAGAACTGTAGCCTACTTGCACATCCATGAGAAGGAAATAAATGCGTATTGTGGAAAACCACTGAATTTGGATTATTTTTATGTAACATTACTTCAGCTGAAACCTAAACAATGCAGCTTTCAAAGATTTAATGGACAAATGGGTAATTCTTAATTTAGATCTGTAAACTCATAAGGCCTTTGAGAAATTGAGCTAGAGATCATAAAAAGACTGGAAAAGCAAAGAATACTGGACATTTAATGTAAAATCATAGTATCTTAAATTAATATGTTTCTATTTTGTGTCACTGTTCTATAAATTTTCACAATTTTTTCCTTTTTTTCTATTTTTACGTTAAGTTCTGGATACATGTGCAGAACGTGCAGGTTTGTTACCTAGGTATACGTGTACCATGGTGGTTTGTTGCACCTATTGACTCATCATCTAAGTGCCCTCCCCTCGCCTCCCACCCCTCAACATGCCCTGGTGTGTGTTGTTCCCCTCCCTGTGTTCCTGTGTTCTCATTGTTCACCTCCCACTTATGAGTGAGAACACGTGGTGTTTGTTTGTTTTCCTGTGTTAGTTTGCTGAGGATGATGGCTTCCAGCTTCATCCATGTCCCTAAAAAGCACATGATCTCATTTTTTAATGGCTGCAGATTATTCCATGGTGTATATGTACCACATTTTCTTTAACCAGTCTATCACTGATAGGCATATGGGTTGGAACGCTAGAAGAAAACCTAGGCAATACCATTCAGGACATAGGCATGAGCAAAGACTTCATGATGAAAACACCAAAGCAATTGCAACAAAAGCCAAAATTGACAAATGGGATCTAATTAAACTAAAGAGCTTCTTCTGCACAGCAGAAGAAACTAACATCAGAGTGAACAGGCAAGGCAACCTACAGAATGGGAGAAAAATTTTGCAATCTATACATCTGACAAAGTCTAATATCCAAAATTTACAAAGAACTCAAACAAATTTACAAGAAAAAAGCAAACAACCGCATCAAAAAGTAGGCAAAGGATATGAACAGACACTTCTCAAAAGAAGACATTTAAGTGGCCAACAAACATATGTAAAAAAAGCTCAGCATCACTGATCATTAAAGAAATGCAAGTCAAAACCACAATGAGATATCATCTCACACCAGTCAGAACAGTGATTATTAAAAAGTTAAGAACAGTAGTTGCTGACGAGACTGTGGAGAAATAGGAATGCTTTTACATTGTTGGTGGGAATGTAAATTAGTTCAACCATTGTGGAAGACAGTATGGAGATTCCTCAAGGATCTAGAACTAGAAATACCATTTGACCCAGCAATCCCATTACTGGGTATATACTCAAAGGAATATAAATCATTCTACTATAAAGACACATGCACACGTATGTTTATTGCAGTACTATTTATAATAGCAAAGTCATGGGCAGTTATTCTGATCTATATTCATATAGATATCTGTGTGTTTTTCAAACTTTTCTTACTTAAAGATAGTTTTAAATTCTTCTAATTTTTGTGGGTACATAGTAGGTGTATATATTTATGAGGTACGTGAGATATTTTGATGCAGGTATGCAATGTATAATAATCACATTATGGAAAATGGTGTATTCATCCCTTTAGGCATTTATTCTTTGTGTTACAAACAGTTCAATTATACTCCTTTGGTTGTTTTTAAATGTGCCATTAAATTATTCTTTACTATAGCTACCCTGTTGTGCTATCAAATACTAGGTCTTATTCACTCTTTATATTTTTTGTACCTGTTGAACATCCCCACCTCCCACTATCCCCTGACTGTGTTTTGTTTTCCACAATTTTACTGTGATGTCCTTACTTTCATTTGTCTATTTGTATGTATGCATTTATCCTGCCTGAGATTTGTAAGTATTCTAAATATGTGGATTGCTATTTCCCATCAAATTTGGAAATTTCTTTTTTTATGGTCCTCATATATTTTCTCTTTTTTGAGATTCTCATTATGCATATTTGACTACTTAATATTTTCCCTACAAGTCAATGAGGCTATGTCAATTTCTTTTTGTTTTACTTTTATTTTATTTTCAGAGGTATACATGCAGGTTTGTTATATAGGTGAATTGCATGGGGGTTTAATGTACAATTTTTTCACCCAGGTAATAAACATAGTACCTAATAGGTAGTTTTTTGATTGTTACCCTCCTCTCATGTTCCACCCTCAGGTAGGTCCCAGGGTCAGTTGTTCCCTTCTTTATATCCATATTTACTCAATGTTTAGCTCCCACTTATAAGTGAGACTATGCAGTATTTGGTTTTCTGTTCCTGCATCAGTTTGCTTAGGATCATGGACTCCAGCTTCATCCATGTTGCCGCAAAGGACACGATCTCATTCTTTTTCATAGCTGCATAGCATTCCGCGGTGTATATGCACGATATTTTTTTTATCTAGTCTATCATTAATGGGCATTTAGATTGATTCCGTGTTTTTGCTTTTGTAAATAGTGCTATGATGAATATATGTGTGCATGTGTCTTTATAGTAGAATGATTTATGTCCCTTTGAGTATATACCCAATATTTGGATCGCTAGGTCAAATGGTAATTCTATTTTAAATTATTTCAGAAATTGCCAAACTGCTTTTGACACTTGCTGAACTAGTTTACACTCCCATCAGCAGTAAATAAGCATTTCTTGTTCTGCACAACCTTGACAGCACCTATAATTTTTTGACTTTATAATAATAGCCATTCTGACTGGTGTGAGAAACTCATTGTGGTTCTGACATTCATTTCTGTAATGATCAGTGATGTTGAGAATTTTTTACATGCTTGTTGGCTACATGAATGTCCATTTTTGAAAAGTGTCTGTTCATATCCTTTGCCCACTTTATAATGGGGTTGTGTGTTTTTGCTTGTAAATTTGTTTAAATTCCATATAGATTCTGGATATTAGACCTTTGATGGGTGTATAATTTGAAAATATTTTCTCCCAGTCTGTAGATTGTCTGTTTACTCTGTTGATAGTTTCTTTAGCTGCACAGAAGCTCTTTAATTAGACCCAATTTGTCAATATTTGTTTTTGTTTCAATGGCTTTTGGCACCTTTGTGGTGAAGTATTTGCCAAGTCCTAGGTCCAGAATGGTATTTCCTAGGTTATCTTCCAAGGTTTGTATAGGTTTTGGTTTCAGATTTAAGTGTTTAATCCATCTTGAGTAGATTTTTGTATATGGTATAAAAAAGTGGTCCAGTTTCAATCTTCTGCATGTGGCCACCATGTATTGAGCAGGGAATCCTTTCCTCACTGCTTGTTTATGTTGATTTTGTGGAAGATTAGATGGTTGTAGGTGTACAGCCTTATTTCTGGGCTCTCTATTCAGTTCCGTTTGTCTATGTGTCTGTTTTCATACCTGACACATATGCCATGCCGTGTTTGTTTTGGTTACTGTAGACTTGTGGCATAGTTTGAAGTATGGCCATGTGATGCCTCCAGCATTGTTCTTTTTGTTTAGGATTGCCTTAGATATATATATTTATCTAATATATATATATATATAGAGAGAGAGAGATAGAGAGAGAGAGAGAGAGTTTTTCTAATTCTGTGAAGAATGTCATTGGTAGTTTGATAGGAATAGCATTGTATCTATAAATTGCTTTGGGCAATATGGCTATTTTGACAATATTGATTCTTGCTATCTATGACCATGGAATGCTTTGCCATTTGTGGCATCTCTGATTTATTTGAACTGTGTTTTGTAATTCTTGTTGTAGAGGGATTACACCTCCTTGGTTAGCTGTATTCCTAGGTAGTTTTTGTTATTGTTGCTATTATGAATGGGATTGTGTTCTTGATTTGGCTCTCAGCTTGGATGTTGTTGGCACATAGGAATGCTACTGATTTTTGTACACTGATTTTGTATCCTGAAACTTTGCTGTAGGTGTTTATCAGACCAATGAGATTTTGAGCGGAGACTATGGGGTTTTCTAGGTATAGAATAATACCATCTGCAAACAGGGATTGTTTGACTTTCTCTCTTCCTATTTGGATGTCTTTTATTTCTTTCTCTTGCCTGATTGCTCTAGCTAAGACTTCTAATATTATTTTTAATAGGAGTGATGAGAGAGGACATTATTGTCTTGTTCTGGTTTTCAAAAGGAATGCTTCCAGCTTTTACCCACTCAATATGATGTTGGCAATGGGTTTTTCATAGATGGCTCTTATTATTTTGAAGTATATTTCTTCAATGCCTAGGTTTTTGGAGGGTTTTAACATGGAGGAATGTTAAATTTTATCAAAAGCCTTTTCTGCATCTATTGAGATGATCAGGTGGTTTTTGTTTGTAGATCTGTTTATATGGTGAATAATATTTATTGCACCAATCTTGCATCTCAGGGATAAAGCCTACTTGATTGTGATGGGCTAGCTTTTTGAAGTGCTTCTGTAATTTTCTTGTATTTTGTTGAATATATTTACATCTACGTTCTTCAAAGCTACTGGCCTGAAATTTTCTTGTTTTGGTGTGTCTCTTCCAGGCTTTGCTATCAGGAAGATTCTGGCTTCAGGGAATGAGGAAGGAGTCCCTTAACCTCAATTTTTTAGAATAGTTTCAGTAGGAATATTAGCAGCTTTTCCTTATATATCTGGTATAATTCAGCTGTGAATCTGTCTGGTTCTGGGCTTTTTTTTTTTTTTTTTTTTTTTTTTTTTTGGTTGGTAGGCTTTTTATTGCTGATTCAATATCAGAACTCATTATTGGTCTCTTTAGGGATTCAATCTTTTCCTGATCAGTCTTGTAAGGTTGTGTTTTACCAGGAATTTATCAATTTCTTCTGAGTTTTCTAGCTTGGGTGCAAAAAAGTATTTGTAATAGTCTCTGAGGGTTTTTTATATTTCTGTGGGTTGAGTGGTAAAGTCCCCTTTGTCATTCCAGATACCTAAAGCAAGATCTTGGAGACCTATGAAGAGATTTAGATAACCACACAATAATAGTGGAAGACTTTAACACCCTAATGAAAGTATTAGCAGAATATTGAGGCAGAAAACTAAGATACTCAGGACCTTAACTTAACACTTGACAAATGGACCTAATAGACATCTACAAAACTTTCGATCCCCAAACAACAGAATATACATTCTTTTCATTGACACATGCCACATACTCTAAAATCATCCACACAATGGAGCGTAAAACAACCCTCCAGAAATTAAAACAAAAAAATTATACCAACAATACTCTTGGACCACAAAGCAATAAAAATAGGAATCAATGCTAAGAAAAATAACTTAAAACCATACAATTAAATGGAAATTAAGCAATCTTCTTCTGAATGACTTCTGGGTAACTAATGAAATTAAGGCAGGAATTAAGAAGTTCTTTGAAATAATGAGGATAAAAGATACAATATATCAGAATCTCTGGGACACAGCCAAAGCAGTGTTAAGAGGGACTATAATAGCACTAAATGCCCACATCAGAAAGTTCGAAGCGAACAGCCTAACATCACATCTAGAGGAACCTAGCAGAAGACAAGAAATAACAAAAATCAAAGCTGAACTGAAGGAAATTGAGACATGAAAAACCATACATGAGATCAATTATTCCAGGAGCTGGTTCTTTGAAAGAATTAAAAAGATAGATGGACTGCTACCTAGACTAATATAGAAAAAAAGAGAGAAGATCCAAATAAACACAATTAAAAATATTGTCAATTTCTTAAAATCTTTATCCTCTCCACGTCGTATTTAGAATAGTGTCTATTGCCTTATATGCAGATGTAGTGTCACTATACAATCTGATTTTAATAAAATCCAGTACATTTTTAATTTCAGACATTGTGTTTAAGCATTTATAATTTCACTTGTGACTTTTTTATTGTTTCAGTTTTTTCTCCTTAAAGTCCATTTGTTCAACAATTTATGTCTGTCTTTTGCTTGAGTATCTTGTGAATATTTATAATAGTTGGTTAAGTTCCTTGGCTATTAATTTCAACATCTGTGTTATGTTTGGCTCTTCAAATTATTATCAGTCACAAAATCAACTCCACTCTTGTCAGAACTTCAAAGACTACTAGCATTTTGCAATCTCTGGTGTCTCACTTCAGCTTTTCCACTATGGTTCTCTAACATGGTCTTTTGCTCTGTTAGATTAGTATTTGGCTGAGTGAAAAACAACTAAAGGCACACATCTGAAACTCCTTCCCTGTGAATATTCCTCCATTCCAATGCCTGCAACTGCAAATTCCAATCACCTCAGCAGTCATGAACATTGATTTCTTTTTCTCCAACTAGTAAAACCACTGATCCCTTCATTTGAGCTCGACTTCCCTGCACTTAGTTTTGAATTTTTCCCCTGTCCAATAGTAAGGTAAGTAGTGTATAGCTCTTCTAATGTGTTTTAGTTTTTTGAATGATCAAACCACTGCATGATATGTTGTTCAATACTTGAAAAGTGTTTCTTCATAGATTTTGTTCAGTTTTATAAATTTTTATAGCATAAGTGAGACACTCATTGATTCAGTATGGCCGAAACCTTAATTTCAAGTAATAATTTTTCAAGCATTTATTATATGAAAATGTTTTTTATCAGTGTGTTAAAAACACAAATAAATTTCCTAGTCCCTACAACATATAAATTATGGATTGTTTTCCCAATGGTACAGTTAAAAAACTTGAGTGTCTATGGGCTTAAACTATCTAAGGTAATACAAGGTAAGTGGTTACTAAGTGTTGAGCTGTGTTTTAAATTCAGGTCTGTCAGACACCAAAATCTATTCTTTTAAAATTTAAGCTTATTGTTTGGGAATAGTTTATAGCCTACCTGTTTGTTTAATGAAATCTTCAAACATGCCTAATAGGTATGTTGTATTTAAAACAAATACTATCAGAGCTGTGCAACCTGTGCTTGAAGTAAAAATGCAGAGCACAGAGCCACATATATGCTGACTCTGCCAAACCCTCACCATTCTACTCCTGGGTGATGGAAAATTAGCTCTGCATGACTCCTAGTCATCTTTTCAATACAGTTTGAAACCATTGCACTATATTATGTGGCTTATGAGGAATCATTGAAGCTACTGTGGATATTTTATCTGTAGAAGACAGAGTTAAATGAAGATGCAATAGCTGCTTAAATAAGTTTTTAAAAGCCAAGGAGAGGATGATTACTTGGGGGACAGATTTTGAGGGCATGCAGTTGTGAGGTAGAGTTTATGTCAAGCTGCAGAGCATGAATCTGGATGTAATATAAGATGCAGGTACTGAGTTGATTTAAAAATCATGTAGCTATTAAATATTCTTTCCACCCACAGACACACACACAGAGAAGAACAACAAGAACAAGAAGAGAATTGCAATGATGTGAAGTAATGTATATGTTAATTAGCTTGAATTAGCTTGATTGTGGTGATTATTTCACAATGTACATGTATATCAGATCATAAACTTGTATATCTTAAATGAATACAACTTTTATTTGTCAATTATACCTCATTCGAGCTGGAAAAGTAATAAAATAATTCTGTTAGAATCAACTGGCTATGTAAAATTTGCAAGAAGCAGTATTAAATATTTTATCATCTGTAAATTGTATACTACATATTGTTTATATTGGTAAAATTTGTAATCAATTTATTATTCAGGATTTTCCAGAAAGACCCAATGAATAGTATATAGATATGTAAACAGATAGATACATAGATAGATAGGTAGTTAGATAGATAGGTAAATAGATAGATACATAGATCATAGAGAGGAGATTGATTAAGGGGATTCGTTCACATGACTATGTAGGCTAAGAAGTCTCATAGCATGTTGTCTGAAAACTGGGAAGCCAGGGAAGCTGGTAGCATGGCTGTTCAAGACCAAAACCCTTAGAATCAGAGAAATAATTGTGTAACTCTGAGCCCAAGGCCAAAAGCCTGTGAATGTGGTAGGAGCAGGAGGTGAGGGCATGCTCGTACAAGTCCAGGAGTCCAAAGAACAAAAACCTGGCATTCTGATGCCCATATCCAAAGGCCAGAGAAGAAGGCTGTCCCAACTTCAGAAAACAAAGAGTGAATTCTCCTCTCCACTGTGTTTTTGTTCTATCAGGGCTCCCAGCCTATTGGATGGTTCCTGGCCCATAGTGAGGTGGGATATTCCCCACTTGGTCCACCAGCTCACGTGCCATCTCCTGTGGAAACACTCTCACAAGACACACCTGCTAATACTGCTTTACCAGATACCTAGGCATCCCTTAATCTAGTCAAGTTGATATTCTAAACTTATTTATTACAGGTATATATTAATAAAAATGAATAAAGGCCATGTGAAGAGTCCAAATAAGATATGATCCTGAAAAGGACGGGTAAAGATGTAGAATTCAGATGCATGGCACAAGACGAAAACGAGGAAGACCAGATCAAAGCAAGTTACTGTGTTTCAGGGTAGTAGGAGATAGATAATCCTAGACTATCTGGGACAGATACTCAACTTAAAAGCTACCCTGCAGTCAGGGTAGGTAAGGAGCTTATACGAATGCAAAACCATCTCGAAGAATTGTGTAGAAGGAAATATTATACTGAATGATAAATGAGATTAACTTCTATAAGATTCTCAGTTATATATTACATTTTTAATACTTGAAATTAAGTCCATGGGTTCCTACTGGACTGTCAAGATATTTATCTCAGTAATATTTTGAAAAATTGGGACAATTTTGATTATCAGGTTAAATCAGATATTAAGTTAAAAGGCACATATTCTGCTAAGATACTATCAATCAAGCATATTTTAGAACTCCAAACTAAGAAAGTTGTGTAGTTTTAATTACTATCCACAAGATATTTTAATGCTGGGCCAGGATATCCTATAAACCAGAGTCCATATAAAATTCAGCTAGTTTTTGCTATCCTATTGAGCTCTGTGACTACTTTGTAAAAATAATCCAAGATCGAATATAGATTTGATCTTGCAAGGAATCAGAGAGTCCAGTATTTTAGCCATTTGGGTAAGCAAATGGGGCAAAACAATTGATGAGTTCCAGTTATATACTATAATTAATGAGTAGTCATAGCGACTAATATGTGTCAGCTTTCTCTTTGCTGGAGGAAGAAAAACTTAAAGAAGTTGGAAGGTCAATATATTCTTTATTGTTTATACATGCATATACATTATACTTGTGTGTGTATCTGTGTGTATACACACATATACAGATATATATATACACACACATATACAGATATAGATACACACACACACACACATATATATATATAAACTAGATCTAAATTCCAGAAATTGCAAGATTTTAGAAAATCATATTTTCAAGATAGGTTTTCTTTAACTTAGATCCTGGTAGTGAAAATACATTTGCAATCCTAAAAATACCATTAAACTAGTTTCATTAGGACTTAGAAATAGTTTGCAGCTCAAGTAGAAAAGAGATTAAACCTATGTCGTATTAATGAGTAAAATCTCACCTTGTTTATCTTTTGATGAAGTAACATAAATCAGTTCTCTCTCAGTACTGACTTTGAAAATGTATCCTTCATGTTTCAATCAACAGTCAGCCCTGAAATGAACTTATAGCTGCACCTAATTTATCTTCCTCAAAAATCTGGTTGTTGAATGTGTTGAATTCATTAGGCAATGAAAGGGGGGATGGGTACTTTTATTTTTATTCATGCATCATTACAGGACATGTAGGAACCTTAGAAAATTCAAGATGTATAGGATCAAAGTTGTTTCAGAAGACAAGAAGATGCTGAGACTTTGATTAGAGTTTGGAGTTCCTCAAATTCATTGGAGGTTGTTTGTTAAAAATTGTATCTTTTTGTTTGTGTATGTGTGTGTGAGGGAGAAAGAAGGGGGTGAGGTTGACAGAGAAAAACTGTTATGTCTCTCTAATTAGATGGGAAGCTTGCAAAGGTAAGGAAATATGTTTTGTTTACTGTTATATCCTCAAAAATTTACAAAATGCCTGAGACAAAATAGAAGCTCAATTAATAATACTTGAACACTTAATGGCCAATTAATAACACTTGGATGAACCTATAGTAAATATATTATCCAAGAGCTGTGTAATATAATGTAAATTCTGTTCATTTTTCCATTTCTACAAGATAATTTTATTAAAAAATCAATTACTATTATTATGCTCCATCAGTTCCTATTTCATTTAACTATGGAGAGGGTTTGAATAATCCAGACCCTAGTTGGGTTAGACACTGCTAAATTTTGCGTTTAGAGCAAGAACCAAGCAGCATGATTCACTCGTTACGTTTTATTTTTATGCAATTCTATACCCAGATATCTTTGTTTTATCAGCGGCTCTTGTAATGGTAGAGAGCTGTTGACATCAAGCTTTCCTCAATTCAATTTTATTGGTTGTCAGTTAACCACCTTATCTATGTATTAGTTGCCCATTGTTTTGATTTTTGAGTAATATTTTATTATTTAGGTATTCTACAATTTGTTTTTTCATTCACTACCTAATGAACATTTCTGGGTCATAATCCAATGTATTTATTTATTTATTTATTTTTACTTAAAATGTTCTAATGTTAGCCCTTAGGAGCTTTTTTAGGTTGTTTTCTGTGCCATTTAAGCATATCTCCAGACTTTTTTGGATATTTCCTTATTCTCCGACAGCAGAAGATACTCCTAATCATCAGGTGAATCAACCACTTCAAGAATCTTTGATTCCTTTTATTAGACAATGCATGGTTTGTCTTTTCATTCACTTAGCAGGATTTAGTTCACTTATTCATGAAAAAATAGGTTCTAATTTTGAATAAGTCCAATTTATCTATATTTTTCTTGTAATGGGTACTGTGGCACAAAACAGACCTTTTTTCTAATATATGGCTGTGAATATTTTTCTCTATATATTATATAATTCATGAATTATAGTTTTAAATTTTAGATTTCAGTCTATGGTTCATATTGATTTAATGTTTGCATAAGTTTAGATGTATGTATTGAAGTTCCAGTTAGTTAAGCACCACTAGTTTTGTGAACAAAATTTTCTCTAGTGAATTTCTTTTGCATTGTTACTAATGAATAGCAGACTGTATGTTATGTGTATATTTATGTGCTCTCTAATCTGTTCTATGTTGTTCTTTTGCCCAGAACACGATAACACATGTAGAGCAGAGCACTGTGCACCAGTTACTAATGCCAGAAGAGGACTCTCACTATATGGAGGGTAATGAAGATCATCACAATACCAGCCACCAGGAATAGAAGTCCAGATACTTCTGCCCACTGTCTGTTAGTATTGGAGTCACCAAAAAATCACAAGTCAAGTACTTGGTGGAAAATTACTTTACTCACAAAAAGATACAGAGCAAGATCAGTTTCGGTAGTGGACATCTGTCACCATGGTCCCTCCTAAAAGACAATGCAGGGCAACTGGCCTATGAGCACCCAACTAGTGCTACACTAGAAGGACTCTGACACCTCCTCCATGAAGTATGAAATATCAAAAACTAGGGGCATGCCTGAGCGCCATTGAAACACAGTGCTTAAGCAGAACAAAGACGTAAAGACGTACTCATTGAGTCTGAAACAGAGAAAGATACTTTCTCACTAAATCTAAACCTGGGATAGGTACTGCCTTTCCCAATACAACAGATTTTAGTAAATCCTCCAAATTTGTTTGACTTTGTTCCATTTGTTTTGGTAATTATCTATGCTGTCCCTTTCTATATACAATTAGCATAAGCTAGTCAATACAACAAAAATATATACAGCAAATTAGATTGGGTTTGCATCATTCTATAGATTAGGAGAATATTGAACATTATAAAAATAGTGAATATTCCAATTCATGAACTCAATATATTTATTCATTTACTAAGACATTCTTGATTTCTTATTCAGCATTCGTAGGTAACATGCAAATCCTGTATCTATTTTTGTTAACTTTGTACCTACATATTTTGTTTTTCCTGATGCTATTGTAACTATTACTTTAAAATTTAATTTCCATGTGCCTATAGTCCCAACTTCTTGGGAGACTGAGGCAAAAGACTCAGTTGGGCCCAGGAGGGAGTTTGAGTCTAGTCTGGGCAACACAGAACCCCACCTCTAAAAATTAAATTAAGTTAAAATTAAAAAAAAAAATTTCCATTTGTTCATGCCCATTATGCAAATATGTAATTGACCTAGTACCCTGGAACATTCCAAAATTATTTTACTAAATCTGGAGATTTTGTTATAGATCTAAAGACTGTGAATTCATATGCAAATATGTTGCTTATATAAATAGACTTATTTTACCATTTTTATTCTCTATGACTTTTATTTCTTTTTCTTGTTTTATTTTACTTACTAGGACTTTCAAAACTAGTGAGAGAAATCATCATTGCCTTGATCCTGATATTAAGGGATAAGTTTACTCGTTCTTTACTCAGTTGTGTTGAGTTGGTTGATGAGCTTGTTGAATGCATGCTTCATCACTTTTACTGTGTTTTTCATTTTTTTTATTTTTTTATTTTATTTTATTATTATTATACTTTAAGTTTTAGGTTACATGTGCACAATGTGCAGATTTGTTACATATGTATACATGTGCCATGTTGGTGTGCTGCACCCATTAACTCGTTATTTAGCATTAGGCATATCTCCTAATGCTGTCCCTCCCCACTCCCCCCACCCCACAACAGTCCCCAGAGTGTGATGTTCCCCTTCCTGTGTCCATGTGTTCTCATTGTTCAATTCCCACCTATGAGAACATGCGGTGTTTCGTTTTTTGTCCTTGCGATAGTTTGCTGAGAATGATGGTTTCCAGTTTCATCCATGTCCCTACAAAGGACATGAACTCCTCATTTTTTATGGCTGCATAGTATTCCATGGTGTATATGTGCCACATTTTCTTAATCCAGTCTATCCTTGTTGGACATTTGGGTTGGTTCCAAGTCTTTGCTATTGTGAATAGTGCCGCAATAAACATTGCGTGTGTCTTTATAGCAGCATGATTTATAATCCTTTGGGTATATACCCAGTAATGGGATGGCTGGGTCAAATGGTATTTCCAGTTCTAGATCCCTGAGGAATAGCCACACTGACTTCCACAATGGTTGAACTAGTTTACAGTCCCACCAACAGTGTAAAAGTGTTCCTGTTTCTCCACATCCTCTCCAACACCTGTTGTTTCCTGACTTTTTAATGATTGCCATTCTAACTGGTGTGAGATGGTATCTCAGTGTGGTTTTGATTTGCATTTCTCTGATGGCCAGTGATGATGAGCATTTTTTCATGTGTTTGTTGGCTGCATAAATGTCTTCTTTTGAGAAGTGTCTGTTCATATCCTTTGCCCACTTTTTGATGGGGTTTTTTGCTTTTTTCTTGTAAATTTGTTTGAGTTCATTGTAGATTCTGGATATTAGCCCTTTGTCAGATGAGTAGGTTATGAAAATTTTCTCCCATTTTGTAGGTTGCCTGTTCACTCTGATGGTAGTTTCTTTTGGTGTGCAGAAGCTCTTTACTTTAATTAGATCCCATTTGTCAATTTTGGCTTTTGTTGCCATTGCTTTTGGTGTTTTAGACATGAAGTCCTTGTCTATGCCTATGTCCTGAATGGTATTGCCTAGATTTTCTTCTAGGGTTTTTATGGTTTTAGGTCTAACATGTAAGTCTTTAGTCCATCTTGAATTAATTTTTGTATAAGGTGTAAGGAAGGGATCCAGTTTCAACTTTCTACATATGGCTAGCCAGTTTTCCCAGCACCATTTATTAAATAGGGAATCCTTTCCCTATCTCTTGCTTTTGTCAGGTTTGTCAAAGATCAGATGGTTGTAGATATGTGGCATTATTTCTGAGGGCTCTGTTCTGTTCCATTGATCTACATCTCTGTTTTGGTACCAGTACCATGCTGTTTTGGTTACTGTAGCCTTGTAGTATAGTTTGAAGTCAGGTAGCATGATGCCTCTGGCTTTGTTCTTTTGGCTTAGGATTGACTTGGCGATGCGGGCTCTTTTTTGGTTCCATATGAACTTTAAAGTAGTTTTTTCCAATTCTGTGAAGAAAGTCATTGGTAGCTTCATGGGGATGGCATTAAATCTATAAATTACCTTGGGCAGTATGGCCATTTTCACGATATTGATTATTCCTACCCATGAGAATGGAATGTTCTTCCATCTGTTTGTGTCCTCTTTTATTTTGTTGAGCAGTGGCTTGTAGTTCTCCTTGAAGAGGTCCTTCACATCCCTTGTAAGTTGGATTCCTAGGTATTTTATTCTCTTTGAAGCAATTGTGAATGGGAGTTCACTCATGATTTGGCTCTCTGTTTGTCTGTTATTGATGTATAAGAATGCTTGTGATTTTTATACATTGATTTTGTATCCTGAGACTTTGCTGAAGTTGCCTATCAGCTTAAGGAGATTTTGGGCTGTGACGTTGGGGTTTTCTAGATATACAATCATGTCATCTGCAAACAGGGACAATTTGACTTCCTCTTTTCCTAATTGAATACCCTTTATTTCCTTCTCCTGCCTGATTGCCCTGGCCAGAACTTCCAACACTATATTGAATAGGAGTGGTGAAAGAGGGCATTCCTGTCTTGTGCCAGTTTTCAAAGGGAATGCTTCCAGTTTTTGCCCATTCAGTATGATATTGGCTGTGGGTTTGTCATAGATAGCTCTTATTATTTTGAGATACGTCCCATCAATACCTAATTTATTGAGAGTTTTTAGCATGAATGGTTGTTGAATTTTGTCAAAGGCCTTTTCTGCATCTGTTGAGATAATCATGTGGTTTTTGTCTTTCGTTCTGTTTATATGTTGGATTACATTTATTGATTTGTGTATGTTGAACCAGACTTGCATCCCAGGGATGAAGCCCACTTGATCATGGTGGATAAGCTTTTTGATGTGCTGCTGGATTCGGTTTGCCAGTATTTTATTGAGGAATTTTGCATCAATGTTCATCACGGATATTGGTCTAAAATTCTCTTTTTTTGTTGTGTCTCTGCCAGGCTTTGGTATCATGATGATGTTGGCCTCATAAAATGAATTAGGGAGGATTCCCTCTTTTTCTATTGATTGGAATAGTTTCAGAAGGAATGGTACCAGCTCCTCTTTGTACCTCTGGTAGAATTCAGCTGTGAATCCATCTGGTCCTGGATTTTTTTTGGTTAGTAAGCTATTAATTATTGCCTCAATTTCAGAGCCTGTTATTGGTCTATTCAGAGATTCAACTTCTTCCTCGTTTAGTCTTGGGAGGGTGTATGTGTCGAGGAATTTATCTATTTCTTCTAGATTTTCTAGTTTATTTGAGTAGAGGAAACACACAAATATAAAAGCAAAATGTTTTTATATTGTGTTATATAAATATCATATCTTATATAAATAAAGACTTATTTTACCATTGAAAATAATAAACACTTTGCTGTTTATTATTTTATCTCTAGACACTAGCTCAGAGCCTGCAATTCTGTAATTGGCTAATAAGCACTTAGTGAATGAACAAATGAATGCATGTATGAATACATGAAGACATCAAAGAAGTAGGTTTTTGCAAAATTTCAGAGGCATATAAGTGACAGATTAACGAATCAGGAACATTTGATATCTACAATATAAAAGTATATCACATAGAAAAACATGAAATTCTGGCTGGGTGCATTGGCTCATGCCTGTAATCCCAGCACTTTGAGAGGCCGAGGCAAGTGGATCACCTGAGATCAGGAGTTCACGACCAGACTGACCAACAAGGTGAAATCCTGTCTCTGCTAAAATACAAAAATTAGCTGGATGTGGTGGCACGCGTCTGTAGTACCAGCTACTCAGGATGCTGAGAAAGGAGAATTGCTTGAACCCGGGAGGCGGAGGTTGCAGTGAGCTGAGATTGCGCCACTGCACTCCAGCCTGGGCGACGGAGTGAGACTCCATCACAAAAAACAAAAAAACATGAAATTCTATTAACTATTTTATACTTTTACGAAAATATATTAGTTAAATTTGTCTGAATATCACTAGCCAAAAAAAAAAAAAAAGTATCACTGAGAAACCATTCCCTTGTACATTTCTTGGAAAACTTGAGAATAATTTCACAGTCTCCATAATATGAAATATTTAGAAAACTCTGGAATGCATCAAACTTCAGCGATTTACTTTAAAGACAATAAAAGTGTTTTTTTATTTTTTCAGTTGGAGTCTCGCTCTGTTGCCCAGGCTGGAGTGCAGTGGGGCGATCTCGGCTCACTGCAAGCTCTGCCTCCCGGGTTCACGCCATTCTCCTCCCTCAGCCTCCCGAGTAGCTGGGATTACAGGCGCCCGCCACCATGCCCGGCTAGTGTTTTTATATTTTTAGTAGAGACAGGGTTTCACCGTGTTAGCCAGGATGGTCTCGATCTCCTGACCTTGTGATCCGCCCGCCTCGGCCTCCCAAAGTGCTGGGAATACAGGCGTGAGCCACCATGCCCGGCGAGAGTAAACATTTTAATATTAAAGTACTGCCTGTGTAAAAATTTTATTACCCAGAATATAACGTTATTTCTTTTTGAAAGATCCACTGGGCAATATGGCAACTGGGATGAGTTGGGGGAAACAAAAATAGACCAAACAAACAAAATCAAAAGGCAAAGGGCAAAGCAAGAGTAAAAACTGATGAGAAGCATGATTGTACGTAGGATTTTCTGATGTCTCTATTAGCATGCAATAAAGGTAGTTTTATCATCTTCAAGGCTAACAAAAGAGTATGATTCTCTGAAAAAAAGAGAATAAAGAATTGAGTCTATCACTTGAAAGAGAGAAGAGGGAAAATTATCTCAGCCAGGTGAACTCAGTTTTGTATTTTTGACAAGATAGAAATATTTAAAAGTTTTTACATTATTATACAAAATTTCTGCACTTAGAAGCAGACAAATATCGATAAACAATGCCTCTCTCGGGATGTAAATAACAACGATGCACTAAATTAAATAAGAAATAATAATATTCATTTCCTGAGTGTCTCTTCTCTGTTCTTAGATAAAATAATTGCATACTTTCTTTAACGTTTATTGAAACATTCAGCAAGTTATTGTTTGGTCCCCTTCACTGTCTGGTACTCTTATAAGAATATTTGATAATTGCACATATTATATTTCATAATGGCTGTGACTAAATAACAAATTAAGTTTTACAGTAAAAGGTAATAAAGCAAGTGTTTAATTCAAAAAGGACATTCCAATTTCATTTGTGGATGAAATTTCAGAGAGATGTCACATAGACACCAGCCATTTACTTTAACTATCTTGTATATAAAATATTTCTTTGTAAAACAAAGAAACAATGTTAAAAATTAGGTATCCAGTTAACAGGTTCTAGTTTCTATACATGAAGAGGGACTTTTGCCTTCAAATTTGTTTCAAACTTATATGCATGAAGGAAAAATACATTTTTGTACTTAGTATTCAAATATACTTATCTATTAAAATTCATTAGGGTGCGATTAACTTATGTGAAGGGTTGTTCTCTTATTTGCCACTTTTTGGCAAATAGTGTGAGTTTCAATTCATTTTTGAATGTGAACAGACAAGAAGAAATTGACAAAAAAATTTGGCTTACAGCATCATATTCTAGCAGCATATTAGTTCATCTTTAATAGTGCTTGTAAGAAAATACTAATAAAGCTGCTTTGTTTGTGTTTGTTTTATGTATATTTTTGTGATTGTCAGAAAGCCAGTGGTAGCTTATATAGCTGGGAACTTCTGAGCAAATTACTTATTTGTTAATTAGTGGTTTCAACCTAAAATATGATTTCCTTATAGGAATGTGGATACATAATTATATATTTCCCTATACAGGTGTACATATATATTTATATATTACATACTATATGCTTATATATAAATATATACTTATATATAATATAAATTATAAATGTATTTAACTATATATATGTGTATATATTTATATATATTTACACACATACATACAATGGTGCAGAATTTGGGTTTTGGAAATTGATGACAATTTTTTCTTTTTTTTAAATTTCCTGTTTCAAAATTTATTTTTTAAATTAACAAATAATAATTGTACATATTCATGAGTTACACAGTGATGTTTCAATAATGTAATATATATTGATCTGATAAGGGCAATTAGCATATCCATCATCTCAAACATTTGTCATTTATTTGTGTTGGGAACATTCAATATTCTCCTTCTAGCTATTAGAAACTATATATTATTGTTAACTATGATCATCCTACAATGGTATAGAACACTAAAACTCATTCCTCCTATTTGGCTGTAATTTTATAACTTTTAACAAATCTCTCCCTATCCTCTACCTTCCCCTTCCCCTTCCCAGCATATCATATCTTCTGCTCTACTTTTTACTTCTATGAGATCAACTTTTTTTTAGCTTCTACATACGAGTGAGAACATGTTGTTTTTAACTTTCTGTTCCTGGCTTATTTTGCTTACCATAATGTCTTCCAGTTCCTGGATGACAGCTCTTTCTTCTAACAATATACTTACAACTAGAAAATAATGAGAATGTTGGAAACTATATTTGTATGATAATTATATTTCTAATTCTAAATACCAGGAACACAATTTTCTCTTCCTTATATTCTGACTGTGGGGACCACTCATTCCCCTATTGAGTGGAAGAAATGACCAGTGCTAAAAGGAATATTCAGGACCCAGCGTAATTTACATTAGTATGGGGGAAGGGGGGTTAGGAAACAGAGAGATAATTAAGGAGAAAAAAATGGCATAAAATAAATTGATTAGTGTCTCTCTGCTCTTTCCTCAGTATCAAAAAATATTAAATAAGAAATAAATTAAGAGATGATGTCTGGCCTAACCATCTCATTGTACAGAAGCTGAAATCGTTGTGCAGTAATGTCAGACTTCCCCAAGACCTATGTGGACTTAATAGAAAAAAGGAGCCTGATAAACAGCTCTCCTCAGTATCCTCTCTTGTCATATATTGCTTCTTTGAATTAAGGGAAGCAAATTATCTAAGTGATTTGAATGAGCATTATAATAAAAATTAATGAATATTACTAACTCTTTTAAGTTAAAAAATTCTGACACTTAAATTTTTGTATTAGCTCTATATAGTCTCTGTAAAACAGCAGTGCCATGTACCCCAATCAGCAATAACTTTTATCTTTATTGCATTTGTCTAATACTGTGATTTTTCGTTTAGTTCATAAACATTATCTTATTTTATCATCACTATCACAGTCTGAGATTTGATAATCTGCTTGTTTGTAGGAAGATTCAGAGATGCAGAAAAGCTAAGAGAATTAATCAAATTTCACACAGCATCTATAGGTCTCAAAACCTGGTCATATGATGCAACATTTTTCTTTACACTGCTGCTAGATTATATTAGCTAGGGGGTTAAAATCGTGTAGTCAGTAACCATGTACTCCTCCTTAGTTAATAATTCATATTTTGTATATTCAAAGGTTCACCTGACATCCTTTCAAGGAACCCTATGAATGAGACCCTACCAATATGAGGTACCGTGAGGAACATGGACAAGTACCACATGGAGCCCCTTCTTTTAGAAATTGACATTATCTATTTGATAGATTTTAGATATTTAGACAAGTAAAACACTAATCTGCAAAAAACGCAAACGCAGTTCAAGAAAATAGCACAATATGTGGCAACAAAGGTGTAATTAAATATCTAAGTGATTTCACAGGAGATCAGGATTGCTTCTGTCTAGCAGAGTAAGATAAATCTGCTTGGAAGAGATGGAATCTGAAATGGGAGTCTAAACCCGAAAACTTTCTTACACCGCTATGTCAGAGAGAAGATGGAGAGAAGGTGCACATTATAAAATGATGGTCCAGTCCATGTTCAGATGTAGTGAAGTATTTGTTGTTTGTGGTACAGCAAATATGCAAGTTTGTTTACTCAACAAGAAACTGATTTCTGGAGTGTTCTAATGCAAGAAAGCATCTTTCTTATTTTTTAAATAATTATTATGTTTCAAATTGCTGAGAAATACCCTCTGGAAGCTTTTTTTCTGCACAATAGCACCATTCTAAATATTAATAGAAATCTTTTATGGTGGTGGGGAGGTTTACAAATTTTATTTTTTAGGTAAGCTTAGTTATATTGAAGTATAACTTGTACAGAGAAGTCTGCAGATTATAAATTCAGTATATGCAATTTTTACAATGGAAAACACCTATGAACCAGCATCAAAATAAAAATCAAACCTTACAAGAGATGCTGAAATTTCTATTGCATCTCTTAGTCCTTAACCAAAGATAATCACTCCTGGAACTTCTCTTACTATAGTCTCCCAAATTCTAAACCTTATAAAACAAATGTGTACTCTTCTATATCTGATTTCATTTACTGAAGAACACTGTTGCGTGCAAAAAAAAATCTGTAATATTCATTGCTGAAGGGTTCAATTGCATTACTCTGAAACAATTTATTTATCTTTGCTACTTTCATGAGTGCTACAGAAAGTTTCTATGAACATTCTTGTACATGACTTTCATTGTATTCATGAACATGTATTGCTCTTGGGTTCATCTCCAGGGATAAAATTGAGTCATAAAATAATTTATGTTCAACTTTGTGAAATATTGACCAATGAATTTCCAAAGTGGTTGCATCTAATTGTATATCCCTAATCAATAAAAATATCAATGTTTTCAACCATGTTAACATTATTCGATATTGTTACTCAATTGCATTTTAGATATCCTAGTGGTTGTGTAAAGCTATCTCTTTGTAATTATAACTCACACTTTAATAATGAACAAAGAAGTTGAACATTTTTTCATATGTTTATTTGGATTTTTTAATTCCCATTACATATTTTTAATACTCTAAATTGAACCAATAATTTTACATTGATTTGTGAGAATTCTTAAAAATGTATTATTATTATTATTATTTATTTGTATAAATTTAAGGGGTCTAAGTGCATTTACGTTACATGGATATATTGCATAGTGGTAAAGCCTGGGCTTTGGTGTAACCATCACCTACTTAGTATACAGTATACCCATATACCCATTATGTAATATCTCATTCCTCACCACCTGCCCACCCTTCCAAGTCTCCAGTATCTAATATTCCATATCCTATCTCTATGTGTACACAAAAAATATATTACTGATTTGAATTATTGGCAAGATAAATATTTTTCAAGTATTATCTCCCAGCCTTTAGCTGACCTCTTTTACTGATGATAAGCTTTTGAAGAAGAAAATATTTTAATTTTAATAAAGTTCAATTTTTTGTTCTTTTACTTGTGGTTGTTTTTTGCTCACTGTTCAGGAAACATTTGTCTAATCTAGGAAGATGAATATATTTTCTTATATTTTCTTCTCAGCCTTTTATTTTACCTTTGACATGTAGGATGACAATTTACCTGTAATTAATTTTTGTGCATAGTGTAAGACATTATTTTTTCATTATGGATATCCAATTGTTACAGCACCATTTTCATAAAATTATCATTTCCTCCTTTTAATTGAGTGCTGCCTTTGGAAAAATTAAAGACTATATATAAGTGGACTTGTTTCTAGAGTCTTTGCTACTCTGTTTTTCTTTTCTCTCACCAATACCATATCATCTTAAAAACTATAGCCTCATGATGATTCTTTTCATTAAAAGGAAAACCTTACCGAGGTCTCTCTTACCTTCACTGACTGCCTAGATAATTTCTTTTTAACTCTTATATGACTAACTTAGATTGTTTGGACAAAGTAGTTTCCTCCAAACTTTTCACTGCCAAGATGGCATTTACTGTCACCCTTTTCTTTCTTTCTTTTTTTTTCCTTTCTATCCTTTCTTTTCTCCTTCCTTCATTGATATGAATTTATGCATTGTTAATTCATCAAAAAATTACAATCCATTTGTATCATTATTTATTTTGAAACTCAAATTTTCCCAGATGTAGTCAGTGAAAAATATTTCAGGCTGGTTCCTGAGTCCTCTGAAACAGCTCATTACTCTTTGAGACTGTCCTTAGCTTCTAGTGTAAAACTAGGGTTCTAGGCTCTATATTTTCTCTGCTCCATCCTAGAATCAGTCATTTCTCCAAAGAACCTTGGTTGCCTGTAGTGAAAAATAATATTTATGAGCAAAAGGAAATATATTATGTATGCTTTCTCCTTCCATATGTGTAACTCTCTTTTCCAACAGTTAAATCCTATCTTCTATCCTTAATATATTTCCTCATTGAATCAAATAAAATTTATAGAAAACATGGGTTTCAAAATTTCTAATTGATACCACTCTGTAAAGAAAATCTATTATTTACTAATTAGAGTTCAAAGATTTTTTAGCCATCTCCTTTTTAAGATAAATTTTACATTTACTAGTATAAAAATAATTCTACCAAGATATAGAATATTTCCATTACCCCAGAAATTTATCCCTGCCTCTTCTCAGTTAATCCACAGATTAATTTTCCATATTATATATAAATGGACTCATTCATGCAGTAGGCACATTTCTTCCTGGAATCTTTTGGTTTGGTTATATCTGCTGTTTTTATTCATATCATCATGGTTACAAATACCTCCTTCATTTTCATTACATAGCACTATTCCAACTATTCCACTGTATTAATAATTGTTGTTTGTTTATCCTTTCTCCTGTTTATAATATATTGGGTAGTTTTCCATTGTGTTCTATGATGAATTAAGTTGATATGAATATTCTAGTCTAAGTCTTTGTGTGGACGTATATTTTCATTTTTGTTGGATAAGTATTCAAAAGTGGATAGACTAGGGAATGGAGAAGATGACTATTTAAGTTTACAAGACTTTCCTGAAACTATTTCCCAATTAGTTCTGACACTCTATCTCCAACCAAAAATGTATGAGAGTTCTGGTTGTTCCTAACCTTTAACAACATTTGATGTTTATATTTTTCTAAATGCTAATGTTTATGTAATAGTGTTTCATTGTAGCTTTGCATTTGATAATCTTTGAAGCTATTATAAATGGCATCATCTAGCATTGCATTTTCCAAATTGTTGTTGACAGTTTATAGTAAATACTATTGATATATTTATGTATATTAATATTGCACTTAAGACTTTTGATAAATTCTCATCTTTATAATGTATCAATAGATTATTTGGAATTTTTAATATATAATATATCATCTGTGAATAATTATGAATTTATTTTTCACTTCTATTCTTTTTACATTTTTATCAAACAATTTTTTTATCAAAAGAGTGAAGCATTTGAAACATCACCTTGAAAAAAAAATTCTTTACAATTCATTATCTATATCAGCATGGCAGCATTCCTCAAAGCAAAAACACATTTAAAAGGAAAGGAAGAAGAGTAGTTGGTAATTAAAAAATATATATTAAGAACGTCTCAGGGAAGTGTCCAATGTCTAATTATCTGTGTCCTTAGGAGAAGACAGAATGACTGATGACAGAAGCACCTGCGATCTTCTTCTTGTGCTGTGGGCTTCAGGGGAATCCAAGAGTTCCTGGCAAAGAGGATCTAATGAAGACTGACATTGATCAATAAAGGCATGGGGTTAAAAGAGCAACAATAAGAATACCTTAAAGTTGTACTCAGAAGATAGGAGCTATCTCTGCTTCCTTTCAGAAACATCATTATTACCTTGAATCAGAGCCTGCCAGAAGCATTTTGCACAACAATTGTAAGAAGAGACTGAAACTTCAGAAACACTTTTAGGTAGGTGTTATGCTTCAGAGAGTTTGTAAATCCAGAGAAAATAATTGACCGAAAGATTCAGATATACCTTAATCTGTTTTTTGATGTTGTTGTTGTTGTTGTTCCATTTAAAAGGCCACATCTTTTTCTTTCTTTTTTTTTTAGACGGAGTTTCACTGTTGTTGCTGGGGCTGGAGGGCAATGGCATGATCTCAGCTCACCGCAACCTCCGCCTCCCGGGTTCAAACGATTCTCTTTCCTCAGCCTCCCGAGTAGCTGGGATTACAGGCATGCACCATCACTCCCAGCCAATTTTGTATTTTTGGTAGAGAAGGGGTTTCTCTATGTTGGTCAGGCTGGTCTCGAACTCCTGACCTCAGGTGATCTGTCCGCCTTGGCCTCCCAAAGTGCTGGGATTACAGGCATGAGCCACTGCCCCCGGTAAAAGGTCACATCTTTAAGCAACAGCTTTGAATATTCCATTAAATTACCATTCCTTTTATAGCTAGATGTTTGTACTGAATAAAGTAGAGCATCTGTCAGTACAAATAGACAATAGTCAAACAGACACTGTCCATTTCTCATTCACAGTGATGAACTATTTCTTCCTACATGAACAGACACCTATAAGAAGTAATCCATTGCTTAGCGATACTACTCACTTTCTTTCTGACAGAAGTAGAGAATAGAAAATCCTTGTGCATACAAGTTACGTAAGAGGCCATGGCCATTATTCTGACATTAGTTATGTTAGACTACAACTGATGCATACCCATTTAAAGAGAAAATATTGCTTGTTACTTTCACTTTATTCAGCATAGAGAGACACCAAAGTAGGTACACAGTTGAGTAGTTTTCACAAGAAAAAACATCTATATCTACAGTTTGAAACAATGAGTTATTTGCTCATACTTTTGCAATGCTGGTGGATCATCTGGCTGGTATTTCCGCTGGTCTTGTCTTTTGTCTCTCTTACAGTTTTAGTTATTTGGTAGCTTGACTGGGGCTGGATGACCCACAAAAGTCTCACTCACATTTCTGGTGGTTAGTTGTGGCTGCTCTTTGGAAGACTTATTCTTCTTTTATTGGCCCAGCCAGCAGGTTAGCCTGTAGGAGAATATAGCAGTAACAGCATTCTAGAAGAGCAAGTCCTGATGCTCAGGTGCTCATTAATTCTGTTCTTGCCTCATGTTTTTTTTTATTTGTCATTGGCCAAGGCAAATCCCATGGCCAAAACCTTAGTCAATGTGTAAAGGTATGGATACATGAAGGTATGACTCATTGGAGGCATCCATTAAATTAATAATCTACTATAATGCCCCAGTATACATAAGACTGGTATATATGTAAAACATGGTTTATTTTTCATATTTTTGTTCTTGGTTTCATATGCTTAAATTTTTTTTAGACTTACAGAAGAAAGGAAAACAAAAACCATAAAAAAAGAGTAGGAGGCATTCCTATATGCTTTTCACCCACTTCCTGTAATCTTGACATTTATTTAGCCACAATACAGTTAACTAAACTAAGAATTAAACATGAGTGCATATTATTAACTAAAATACAGGCTTTATTCAGTATTCACTAACTTACCTACTAATATATTTTTCTCTTTTAGGATCCAATCTAGCATTCCATATTATTGCTTCCACCTAGTTTTCTCCAACTTGTGACAGTTTCTGAATCTTTCCCTGTCTTTCATGACCTTGACATTTTTGGCGAAAACTGGTCTTTTGTTTTGCAAAATGTCCTCCAATTTAGATTTGTCTGATGCTTTTTCATCGTTAGATGAAAAAAAGCATATGCCTTTTCGGCAGGAATACCACAGAAGTGATGTGCCTTTCTTAGTGTGTCCAATAGGAGTTACTTGATGTCGGTAAGTAGTGATGCATTGACCTTAACCTTGATCACTTGGTTAAGCTGGTGCCTTCTGGGTTTCTCCACGGAAAAAATGCCTCTCTCCTTAAGCACATGCTTGAAATCAACTGAATTTCCAAGGAGAAAGGAAAAACAAGTTAAAAATATCTTTATTTTAATTTTACTGAACACTTTTCAACTTAATTTCTTAATGTAGTCTCACAATATGCAGGGGAATATAACCTACTTTCCCCAGATAACTTTCTATTTCTATTTTGGAATATTGTCTTACAATATTTTTTTATTGGACAATTTCTACTAGAAGTAGATTGTCCCTCATCTTAAATTTTAATACTTTTTTCTTGCCTATCACTAAGATTTTACACAATTAGGTTTCTGCTCTGTATATTCTTAAACATCTATTAACATACTATCAAAGATCATCCAATTAAATAGTATACAGCATTTACTTATGATAAATATGACTCTACAAATTAGTTATATGAAAGACCCTTGCAACAGTGTTCAATAGTGACTTATCCAAACAACCTTTATATGTCTTTTGACATTTTGCATTTAGACATGTTTGTCTTGCAAGCACAGGCAATGACTGTTGTTTTGTTTCATTTTGTTTTTCATTTCTGGACTACCTTTCAGGCTTTTTGTTTTGTAATAAACAAGTTTGGCAGATAGAAATAGTGTTTCTCTCTGGAGCAATGTTCAGGCTTGCTTACTGACCTTTTATAACATATTTATATTCTGAGCTCAGAGTTCCTCTCCTGTAATGCAGTTCACTGTATGTTCAGATGTCATTTGACTCTGCATTTCCCAATAGGAAGTTGGACATAGCCTGCTGGGTGCGGTGGCTTATGCCTGTAATCCCAGCACTTTTGGAGGCTCAGGCGGACAGATCACCTGAGGTCGGGAGTTAGAGACCAGCCTGACCAACATGGAGAAACCCTGTCTCTACTAAAAATACAAAATTAGCCGGGTGTGGTGGTGCATGCCTGTAATCCCAACTACTGGGGAGGCTGAGGCAGGAGAGTCACTTGAACCCTGGAGGCGGAGATTGCAGTCAGCTGAGATCTTGCCATTGCACTCTGGCCTGGGCAACAAGAGGAAAACTCCGTCTCAAAAAAAAAAAAAAGAAGTTGGACACAGTGAAATGACACAAGCAGATGTTAATTCACATGCTACTGCTATTGCTGTGAGTAGTAGTCCTTTATTTCTGACCCAGGGATATCATGGCTTCCAGAAAGGTAAAATCTCAAACTCTGCACAAGCCTTGAGCTGCCTGTTACAGTCTTTTCTCTCAGTCTCCTTGGAGCCTCTTAAGCTAAACAAGGACATACACAGAGGAGATTAATCCCAAATGGAAGTGCCAAACTGTGGAGGAAACAGGTTAAAATAATTTTGTGGTATATTAAAGAAAGGAAGCATTTGGATTCATGGGAAAACAAAGACTTCTTGAAATTATGTATTTTCAACCAGAAAACAATAAAAATTTAGCTTTTTTCCTATATCTGTTATTTTATTCTGTAAGAGATAATATAGTACATTTTATTTTAATTAGTTTTTTTAAATTTCCTTAATGCTAATAAAACTAAATAATATAAATTTTGATACTGGAAAGAGTTATTAAAACACATCATTCTCTCTCAAATCCTTATCCCTTTAGCAGTAAACACTGGTGATGATGCAGTGTTTTCCTGTGCATAAAAATTCATGTAAGCATATCTGAATATCGGCAATTTTTAGTTAACATTCTTATATAACTATGTCCATGCTTTATAAGCTTATTTTGTTTTCTTCCCGACTTAATATCTTGGAGACATTTTGTGTTACTATATTTGGAGCTACTTAATTGTTAAAATTGCTGCTAATATTGTTCAATGTATTTAACTATTCCCCATCTTATACATGCATGTGTGCACACATAAACACACATGAATGCATTTGATAATGAGATGATACTGTGTGAATTATTTTGTAAGCAACCTGCTCATTTAATCCTTTCATTTGTTTTTCTTATTCAATATAAAACAATATTACTTTCCAAATTCTCTACTAATTAGAATTTATTAATATATTTTTCTCAATTTGTCACTACTATGAGCAATGCTAAAATGATAATCTTTGATCAGATATTTATTTGCAGATATTCAAGTGCACCTAGGGAAAAGAATCCCAGCAACAGAATTTCTTGTTCAAAACTTTGGTATTTTAAAATCACATTGTAGGTAATAATTTTATTTTTTCTTTTAATAAAGTTATTCCTTGAATTAATTTTTGCCTTAATATAATGGCCAGAATATCCTGTAAAATATGGAATAAAAGTAGATTTGGGAGCACCTTGATTGGTTCCTGTTTCTAAATGTAATATTGTGTTATTTTCTATTTAGAATAATGCTTACTCAAAGTTGATTTTCTAAGTATCATTTTTATCAGATTAAGAAGACTTCATGATTTGCCTAGATTTTCTTGAATTTTTGTCCCAAATTAAAGTTGACATTTACTAAATCATTGTTGTGCATTTATGTAGATGATTATATGGGTTTTAGTTTTAGTTTTGCTCATGTAAAATCATCGTTGAATTTCTCAGATAAATTCAACTTGATTTTTTAATATAAATACAGTATTATATTTTGTTTAGAATTTTCTATGTATATGCTTAGATTGATGTACAATTTTATCTTACTGTAATCACTGATTTGGCATAACTACTACACCAAAGTCTTCAGATCAGTTGGAATGTATTTCCCCTTTTTCTAGTATCTGAAGTTTTCATAAGCAAATTAAATTTGATCGTAAAATGCAAAAAGATAAGGAAAAAATGAAATACACTGTATTTTTAAGTTTTTAAAAAGATGATTATAAAGGGCTTATGAATTGTATTAAAATTGTAGGTACATTTATTATATAAGAGGAGACATAAGCTATAACATCTCATAATCCTGTATTGAAGTCATGAACTCCAGTTCTTTTTGTGACTTATTGTATTATTAACCTCTAAGACCTGATTTTCTTATTTATAAAATAGTATTAGTTTTAAGGTCATAGTGGAGTTAAAATAAAACAACATTTGTAGAACAAATGTCACAGTTCTTGGCACACAGGATACACTCAATAAATGTCGACTTTTTATTCTATTATATATATATTTTTTCATTATCAAAGTCTGAATTAATACTGTCTTTAGGCTCAGAAGGTGCTATTCATTAGTTCAAAAAATATTTTTGAAAGGTTAATATCATTTGTCAAGACTCTTCTAAATCATTTGAATATTTCATTCAATGATTCTATAGAACACATAAAAAAAAACTGAAGTTCTTGTTATGTCTTTTGCAGATCTGCATTTCCAAACAACAACCAAAACTGCTGGATGCAAGGTGGCTGCTTACACTACAGACCTGTTACATATATTCCAACCCCATAATGCTAGGGGTTTACAAGGATAATATTTGTGAACTTTCACATTCTATGTAGCGGTCACAATGAAGTCCTCTAAAGGCATCCTTTGATGGAAGCAATTTGGACGTTTATGATGGCTCAAAGCAAGGTTCCAAGCAATGAGACTACATTAGTGTAGATCACCAATATAAATAGAACAGCTATCATATCATATCAGTTCTGTCCACAGCACGTGAGTAGGAGAAGTTCTGAAATAAGATCATCAGGAACAAAGAAAGGAGTATTTCAGAATATATTCAGTTGATTCCAGAGGTAGCCAATCCTGCTTGATTGAATGTTTGCAAAATTCAATTCTCTGTTTGCAGATTTAGGTACAGCAGGTCTTTGAATAACAGTCATTTCATTCAACATTGTTTCCTTATAACGTTGATGAGAAAAAAAGAATATATATATACATATATATTCCCACTGGGGTTCACTGTCTGGGTAGAGTCTACATGTTTTCCCCAGGTCTGGATGGGTTTTTTTCTGGGTACCCAGGTCTCCCTGACATTCCAAAGTTATGCACATTCAGTTCATCTAATGGTCCCAGTCAGAGTGAGTGCGGGGGGTCAGTGAGTACACCTGGTGATACTACCTGTGTAGGGATGGTTGTTTCCTGTCTGGTGTCCTAAGCTGCAGGGAGAAGCTCAGGCCACCTGCAACCCTAAACTGGAATAAGCAGGTAAATCATTACCTTATGTGCTTATACTGATACTTTTATTCATCTTTCTTAAATACATGTATAGCTCACATTTATGTTGAGATTTAATATCAGAAGTGATTTGGTCATTATTTACAAGTTGGTGATGATTTTCTGACCATAAATATGCCATAGGAACATAACTCTTGTTATATCAATTAGCCTGTCATAAAGCTGGCTTTTGCCCTTCAAGTTTCCACTAACCTATCAACATTAAGTGAAGACTTACTGTATAAAGAATGTAGGTTGTTAGAAATAAAGTTTTACCCTGAGGAAAAAAAAATGGTATCTACCATTCAGCTCTGTCCCTTGGTTTATCAATTATTTAGCAATATTTAAATATTCATTCAGTTCTATTGTTCATTATATACAATGGTCTTTGTGTGTGTGTGTCTGTGTGTGTGTATCATACATATTTTTATTCTAGAGATTCTATTTGATTCTCTTATTTTAGCTGAACCCCAACTGAGTTGCTCCAAATGCTGCAGCAATAAAGTTCTCACAAGGGAGTTCTTTGGGATTCCAAAGAAAGAAGCAGTAAACTGCACTGCAGGGTGACCAGTCCAAAGCAAGTGTTAGATGACCTCGCAAAGTACTGCAGCATATATTTAGGCAGACAGAGAGAAAGGGATGCTCTTCCTCAGTATGTCTGCAGCAATGGCATCAGGGTGTGAAGTTTATATGCAAGCTTAAAGAACTTGGCTCAGGGCACAGGCCGGTTTCTTTAAGTGTTTTGATCCACATCCTAAACATCTTTATCAGTGTCTGGGAATGTTCAAGGTCCCAGCTCAGGTTAAGCCTGACAGGAAAAAGAGGCAGCTGGCAGGGTCACACAGTGCTTAAGGCATTCTGTGTTTCTTAGGACACAGAAAGAAAGTGGGGAGGACTAGAGGACCCTACAGTTTGTGTTTTCAACTTAAAATAATTATTTTCAATGGATCGTTATTTGTTAGCCATCATTTCTTTCCTCTATTGTTTCTTCAAAGATACTAAAGATAATTTTTACCCTTTATATAGGTCAGTTATTGTATTTGATAGTTCTTAAGAATCGAAATCTTTTGCTGTTTCTGACTCTGACAGATAGTAACTGGTTATCTCCTGCATTTTTCAACTCTTTTTAGTTCATATTTTATTGAATTCATCAATAGGAGAGCCAATGGGTCTGAATTGGGAATATCTTCCTTTAGAAATGTTCTGTATTGTTTCTGCCAGAAGTTAAGGGAGATATTTGCTTATAGCTGGGATCATAGTTTTATATAATTTTACCTGTATTATTAATTTCATCAAAAGTACTTTCTCATATTCTAACTACCCCTGAATAAACATAATTTTTAATGGTTGATTAACATTCATAATGCAAGTACAACAATTAAAGTAAGCATTCTGTTCTTGTTGGACACTTTCATTGTTTTACTATTACAAACAACAACATAATGCTGTTATTCATTATGTTTCACTTGAATTATTTTCTCATGTTGGATGTAAAAGTTACTAGGGCAGAGGCAATGAAGCATTCTGAGGTCTGTGATTGTAAAATTGCTATTCAAAGATTACACAAATTTATGCTCTTGTAAGCAGTGTATCAAAGTGATCATCTCAGCCTACTTTTGTCCTGATGGCTAATTTGTAGGTTAAGGAGGGTATTTATTAGACTTTAAAGTGCTGTGTATATAGCACTTCAACTATATATATATACACATATATACATATATATATAGTACTTTAAATTTGATTTTTGTTATTTTTTAATTTCTAATGAAGCTGAGCATTTTCCTTATATGGTATCCATTATTTATTTTTTTTCTAGTATTGAAGAATTCTTGTTATATTGTTATCTTAGATTGGCTTTACTTTTTGTTTGTTTACTATTAACCTTATCTTTTCTCAGATCTCGATGGAAAGTTCAAGACAAAATCAGTTTAAGAATTTAGAAAATCTTATCGCTTCTCGGCCTTTTGGCTAAGATCAAATGAAGAATTTAGAAAATCTTGGGACTTCTTTATTCCATCTGTGCATACGGTACTATTTATAATTTGGGGGTTGGGCTTCTGGTTTGTATTATATTTAGTTTTATATAAGTCAGAGACTATATGCCTAAATCAACATATGCCCAGTGGTTGAATGGTGGGCTCAATTTTTTCCAGTGAAAATATATTGCTTGGAAAACAAAGTAACTGACTCAATTTTATGATGGCTAAATCCAAATTTCTTAAATTGTATACTTTCTCTGTCAATCAATATCGATGTTTTAAAATTAATATCATGCCCTTACAAAATGATCCTTATATCAACTGCATTTGCATGTTTTTGTTTGTTTGATGACAAAGTCTTGCTCTGTCACCCAGGCTGGAGTGCAGTGGCACAGTCTTGGCTCACTGCAATCTCTGCCTTCCGGGTTCAAGCGATTCTCCTGCCTCAACCTCCTGAGTAGCTAGGATTACAGGGGCATGCCACCACGCCTGGCTAATTTTTGTGTTTTTGGTAGAGACAGGGTTTCACCATGTTGGCCAGGCTGTTCTCAAACTCCTGACCTTAGGTGATCCACCCGCCTTGGCCTCCCAAAGTGCTGGGATTACCTCGGCCTCCCAAAGTGCTGGGCCACTGTGCCCTGTACGATTTGCAAGTTTTTAAATTTAAACTCTATTCTCCTCAACTCAGGAGTCAGGCAGAATAACAGAGTAGCCGTTTTCCATCTTTATAGTGAAAATAGCTATCTAATGTTTAATTAACCAGTTTAGTAGCTTGTGAGATACACTGATATATTACCCAGAAACACTCAAATATCGTATTGGCTTGTTAACTAAATGTGCATGCCTGTGTCTTAAGTTTTTATATATGTATATAAATGTTGTAGCATATGAAATATATGCCTACCTATGTGTTTATGTAATAGCATTAAAATTTGCATGTATGGCCTGTGAACATACTTGCATATGTGTGTGTTTCACATTACCTGGAAAGTAACTGTTATTTTCTGCTGCCTCAGAATTTCAGACTTCTAAATGCTTGACTTTTAGGTGCTAAATTATTGTTAGTGCTAAAGGAATTGTTCATTACTTTTAATGGCAAAAACTGCAATTCCTATTGCACCAACCTAACATCTTATTACGGCATGTTAACAAATTCCAAAAGCAGTTTTGCAGCATGTAGCTTGTCTAATCACATTTTAGGTAATTCTAGATTCATAGAAGTGGGTCAGGAAAGAGGAGAAATTACATAAAAAGCGTTATCAGAGAGCTGAGGTATTTCCTCCCTCTTCAACAAATCAAGAGACTTCAGAGAATAATCTGAAAAGTGTAAGAGTCCCCAGGATTTGGGAATCCTGGGAATATATCTGAATCTCACCTGTGAAAGTATGAGAGAAAGGTGTGGCTAGTGCAGCAGCTGGTGGCAGACTAGAGAGATATTACGAAAGTATGCTTTTTTCCCCTAACAGGAGAGGTCCAGGGCCTATCTCCCATGGGCTAGATGTGGCTCTCAATTAAGGAACCACTTTTAGTCATTTTGGGAGAGAGTTCACCCACAAAGGCCACTTAATGGGAGGAAACAGAGAATGTCTAGGTATGGTAGACTGTGGGGATCTAGGGATTGAGAGAAATCATAATTGGTCTCCTAAAGGAGGCATCAAGTCTATGGGCTGAGGTCCCCATTGGTAAAATATCAAAGGAGGGAAAAAGTCCTTGATATGATTTGGATGTGTCTCCACCAAATCTCATGTTGAACTGTAATCCCCAATGTTGGAGGTGGGGCCTGGCGGGAGGTAAGTGGATCATGGCAAATTTTGTCCTTGGTACTGTCCTCACGGTAGTTAGTGAGTTCTAGTGAGATCTGGTTTTTTAAGTGTGCGGCACTCCTCCTCCCTCTCTTGCTCCTGTTCCCACAATGTAAGACATTGCTTCCCCTTTGCCTTCTGCCATGATTGGAAGCTTCCTGAGGCCTCCCCAGAAGCAGAACCCACTATGCTTCCTGTACAGCCTGCAGAACTGTGAGCCAATTAAACCTCTTTTCTTTATAAATTTTTTAGTCTTAGATATTTCTTTATATCAATGGGAGAATGGCCTAATATAGTTCTTATATGGTATCTGCCACATAAGTGGGCATTGATGCCACATGAAAAATGTAGCGATCAAGTAAGATGACACTTCTCATAGCTATCCTGCCTTTATGCAGACACTTACTATGTACCCACAAAATTTAAAAATAGAAAACTCAAAGTAAAGCGGTTTTTTTTAAAATCATGGAAGTTAAGGGGGAAAAAAGCAAAGCAAAGAAAGCACACAATCTGAAATACAAAAAAAGTTTTGGGGAGCAGAATTTATCCTTCATTTTTCATTGTATCTCTCACCAATGTTGTAACCACTTTGAGAAATGTATACCTTGTTGTTTCCCTACTTGCCCTCTCTTTTTCCTTCTCATTTGGACAGAATTCAGTTAATCATACATTGTGTTCAGGGCACATTAGTTCCTAGAAGTCTCCTCTTGGTTAATTTTTGAACATTGGAGGATTTTCTGATTTTTGTTGTTCTTAGTGCTTCCTGACTTAATTCCCATGAGGTCAGAAAATGTTCTGTATGAATTTAAAACTTTTGAAATGTACTAACACTACTTTATGGCCCAGAAGTATATGACTAATCTTTCTACATTTTCTGTGTGAATGTGAAATAAAAATGCATAGTCAGAAGTTTATAGATGTAGTATCATATATAAATCGCAAGTTTATTTCAAATATTCTCTCCCTGATCATTTTTATCTCACTTCTCCATCAATTACTGAGAATTGTGTGTTAATAATTTTCACTGTAATGATTAATTTTTATATTTCTTCCAGTAATTATTATTTTTCATATTGAAGTCAAATAACTAGAGACATGTAAATTCAGAAGGCTATTTTGCAATTATTAATGCAGATATACTATGTTTTTTTGTGGTAGTTGTATGTGATATCATAATTTCATCAACTTTTGAATAATTTGGATACATTTATTTTTTTAAGTAGGGTTTTAAAAATCCAGTCTGATAACCTTCATCTTTCAATCAGATCACTTATAACATTTACATATGATGAAATTATCAATATTTTACTTCATCCTATAATGTATTATAGCCACCCTTATCAGTTCCTGTTTCCATTCATCATTTTGCATTATTTTAGAGTAATTATTTGTCATTTCATTTTTAAAACTTTATTTGTGTGTTAATGGCACATCCTATTCTTATTATCTCATGGATACATATAAAATTATAATATGTATAATTATCAAATCTAAGCATACTTGAAAATATTGTCCAAATTTTTTTATATCAAACTGAGCTTTCCTTTAAGAAAGAAGGCTATGTAAAATAAGTTTTAAACACCTAATACACCTAATACTAATTTTGTACTAATAAGCTTTACCTTACTAATCTTACTAACATCAAAATGTATTTACCCAAGACACGAATGGGGGAAACGTTGACAAACTGACTTCTATAAAGCATTGAATAAATTAAATGGCGCAGCTAAAAGTACAACAAAGGTGGATATAAATGTGTAGAAACAATGTCCACATGTCATATGCTCTGACAAAGTAAAAATAACAACTTAAAAGTTATGAAGAGAGAAGAAAGTGAAAGGAAAAGTGGAATTGCGTTATTAATATACAAGTAAGAAATGAAAGTAATACGTTTTTACATGGACACATCATGTAGTAGACTTCTGACTAAAAGAGACTGAAACTGAGGGAATTATACAAAGATATTAGCATAATTATGCTTCCTAGAACAACAACAGCAACAACAACAAAAACTTCACAAGTTGCCAAAGAAATACAAACAGCAAAAAGTTCAAACATAAAGAAGGCCGACAACATAGTGGAAAAGACAAATAGTAAATATAAGATAATACAAAAAATAAGATAACTGGATGGAACAAACACCAAACAAATTTATCTTATGAAAATATGTAACTCTATCTTATCTCAGCTTTTTAAAGGAAAAAGATTTTCAGATGGCACACAAAGCAAAGCCCATCCCTCTGCTGTATATAGAGGATGTACTTAAAAGCATTCAAAAAGGCTGAAACTACAGGGTGACAAATAAATCTCAGGTAATCACAAGCTAAGTGAAGACATAGGTGTCAAACATAATATCTGGTAAGGTTCCAAGTCTTTGGTATTGTGAATAATGCAGCAATAAACATACATGTGCATGTGTCTTTATAGCAGCATGATTTATAGTCCTTTGGGTATATACCCAGTAATGGGATGGCTGGGTCAAATGGTATTTCCAGTTCTAGATCCCTGAGGAATCGCCACACTGACTTCCACAATGGTTGAACTAGTTTACAGTCCCACCAACAGTGTAAAAGTGTTCCTATTTCTCCACATCCTCTCCAGCACCTGTTGTTTCCTGACTTTTTAATGATTGCCATTCTAACTGGTGTGAGATGGTATCTCACTGTGGTTTTGATTTGCATTTCTCTGATGGCCAGTGATGGTGAGCATTTTTTCATGTGTCTTTTGGCTGCATAAATGTCTTCTTTTGAGAAGTGTCTGTTCATGTCCTTTGCCCACTTTTTGATGGGGTTGTTTGTTTTTTTCTTGTCAATTTGTTTGAGTTCATTGTAGATTCTGGATATTAACCCTTTGTCAGATGAGTATGTTGCGAAAATTTTCTCCCATTCTGTAGGTTGCCTGTTCACTCTGATGGTAGTTTCTTTTGCTGTGCAGAAGCTCTTTAGTTTAATTAGATCCCATTTGTCAATTTTGTCTTTTGTTGCCATTGCTTTTGGTGTTTTAGACATGAAGTCCTTGCCCATGCTTATGTCCTGAATGGTAATGCCTAGGTTTTCTTCTAAGGTTTTTATGGTTTTAAGTCTAACGTTTAAGTCTTTAATCCATCTTGAACTGATTTTTGTAAAATGTGTAAGGAAGGGATCCAGTTTCAGCTTTCTACATATGGCTAGCCAGTTTTCCCAGCACCATTTAATAATAGGGAATCCTCTCCCCATTTCTTGTTTTTCTCAGGTTTGTCAAAGATCAGATAGTTGTAGATATGCGGCATTATTTCTGAGGGCTCTGTTCTGTTCCATTGATCTGTATCTCTGTTTTGGTACCAGTACCATGCTGTTTTGGTTACTGTAGCCTTGTAGTATAGTTTAAAGTCAGATAGTGTGATGCCTCCAGCTTTGTTCTTTTGGCTTAGGATTGACTTGGCGATGTGGGCTCTTTTTTGGTTCCATATGAACTTTAAAGTAGTTTTTTCCAATTCTGTGAAGAAAGTCATTGGTAGCTTGATGGGGATGGCATTGAATCTGTAAATTACCTTGGGCAGTATGGCCATTTTCATGATATTGATTCTTCCTACCCATGAGCATGGAATGTTCTTCCATTTGTTTGTATCCTCTTTTATTTCCTTGAGCAGTGGTTTGTAGTTCTCCTTGAAGAGGTCCTTCACATCCCTTATAAGTTGGATTCCCAGGTATTTTATTCTCTTTGAAGCAATTGTGAATGGGATTTCACTCATGATTTGGCTCTCTGTTTGTCTGTTGTTGGTGTATAAGAATGCTTGTGATTTTTGTACATTGATTTTGTATCCTGAGACTTTGCTGAAGTTGCCTATCAGCTTAAGGAGATTTTGGGCTGAGACAATGGGGTTTTCGAGATATACAATCATGTCATCTGCAAACAGGGACAATTTGACTTCTTCTTTTCCTAATTGAATACCCTTTATTTCCTTCTCCTGCCTAATTGCCCTGGCTAGAACTTCCAACACTATGTTGAATAGGAGTGGTGAGAGAGGGCATCCCTGTCTTGTGCCAGTTTTCAAAGGGAATGCTTCCAGTTTTTGCCCATTCAGTATGATATTGGCTGTGGGTTTGTCACAGATAGCTCTTATTATTTTGAGATACGTCCCATCAATACCTAATTTATTGAGAGTTTTTAGCATGAAGGGTTGTTGAATTTTGTCAAAGGCCTTATCTGCATCTATTGAGATAATCATGTGGTTTTTGTCTTTGGCTCTGTTTATATGCTGGATTACATTTATTGATTTGCGTATATTGAACCAGCCTTGCATCCCAGGGATGAAGCCCACTTGATCATGGTGGATAAGCTTTTTGATGTGCTGCTGGATTCTGTTTGCTAGTATTTTATTGAGGATTTTTGCATCAATGTTCATCAAGGAAATTGGTCTAAAATTCTCTTTTTTGGTTGTGTCTCTGCCCGGCTTTGGTATCAGGATGATGCTGGCCTCATAAAATGAGTTAGGGAGGATTCCCTCTTTTTCTATTGATTGGAATAGTTTCAGAAGGAATGGTACCAGTTCCTCCTTATACCTCTGGTAGAATTCGGCTGTGAATCCATCTGGTCCTGGACTCTTTTTGGTTGGTAAGCTATTGATTATTGCCACAATTTCAGAGCCTGTTATTGGTCTATTCAGAGATTCAACTTCTTCCTGGTTTAGTCTTGGGAGAGTGTATGTGTCGAGGAATTTATCCATTTCTTCTAGATTTTCTCGTTTATTTGCGTAGAGGTGTTTGTAGTATTCTCTGATGGTAGTTTGTATTTCTGTGGGATCGGTGGTGATATCCCCTTTATCATGTTTTATTGCGTCTATTTGATTCTTCTCTCTTTTTTTCTTTATTAGTCTTGCTAGCGGTTTATCAATTTTGTTGATCCTTCAAAAAACCAGCTCCTGGATTCATTAATTTTTTGAAGGGTTTTTTGTGTCTCTATTTCCTTCAGTTCTGCTCTGATTTTAGTTATTTCTTGCCTTCTGCTAGCTTTTGAATATGTTTGCTCTTGCTTTTCTAGTTCTTTTAATTGTGATGTTAGGGTGTCAATTTTGGATCTTTCCTGCTTTCTCTTGTGGGCATTTAGTGCTATAAATTTCCCTCTACACATTGCTTTGAATGTGTCCCAGAGATTCTGGTATGTTGTGTCTTTGTTCTCGTTGGTTTCGAAGAACATCTTTGTTTCTGCCTTCATTTCGTTATGTACCCAGTAGTCATTCAGGAGCAGGTTGTTCAGTTTCCATGTAGTTGAGTGGTTTTGAGTGAGATTCTTAATCCTGAGTTCTAGTTTGATTGCACTGTGGTTGGTCTGAGAGATAGTTTGTTACAATTTCTGTTCTTTTACATTTGCTGAGGAGTGCTTTACTTCCAACTATGTGGTCAATTTTGGAATAGGTGTGGTGTGGTGCTGAAAAAAAATGTATATTCTGTTGATTTGGGGTGGAGAGTTCTGTAGATGTTTATTAGGTCTGCTTGGTGCATAGCTGAGTTCAATTCCTTGGTATCTTTGTTGACTTTCTTTCTCGTTAATCTGTCTGATATTGTCAGTGGGGTGTTAAAGTCTCCCATTATTAATGTGTGGCAGTCTAAGTCTCTTCGTAGGTCACTCAGGACTTGCTTTATGAATCTGGGTGCTCCTGTATTGGGTGCATATATATTTAGGATAGTTAGCTCTTCTTGTTGAATTGATCCCTTTACCATTATGTAATGGCCTTCTTTGTCTCTTTTGATCTTTGTTGGTTTGAAGTCTGTTTTATCAGAGACTAGGATTGCAACCCCTGCCTTTTTTTGTTTTCCATTTGCTTGGCAGATCTTCCTCCATCCTTTTATTTTGAGCCTCTGTGTGTCTCTGCATGTGAGATGGGTTTCCTGAATACAGCACACTGATGAGTCTTGACTCTTTATCCAATTTGCCAGTCTGTGTCATTTAATTGGAGAATTTAGTCCATTTACATTTAAAGTTAACATTGTTATATGTGCAACCCAAATGTCCAACAATGATAGACTGGATTAAGAAAATGTGGCACATATACACCATGGAATACTATGCAGCCATAAAAAATGATGAGTTCTTGTCCTTTGTAGGGACATGGATGAAATTGGAAATCATCATTCTCAGTAAACTATCGCAAGAACAAAAAACCAAACACTGCATATTCTCACTCATAGGTGGGAATTGAACAATGAGAACACATGGACACAGGAAGGGGAACATCACCCTCTGGGGCCTGTTGTGGGGTGGGGGGAGCGGGGAGGGATAGCATTGGGAGATATACCTAATGCTAGATGATGAGTTAGTGGGTGCAGTGCACCAGCATGGCACATGTATACATATGTAACTAACCTGCACATTGTGCACATGTACCCTAAAACTTAAAGTATAATAATAATAAATAAATAAAAAGAGAATAATGCAAAAAAAAATCTGGTAAGGTTGAATTTGAGCAAAACATTATTAAACAAGATGAAGAAGTACAGTTTATAATTTTAAAAGCTAAAATTTACAATGAAGATAGAGTTATAGTTGGGGGGTCTTAAAATATTATACTTCATTTTTTTAAAAAAAGCCAAAAGAATCCTAAAAGATGTAATTTAAAGGTAGATATTAAAGATATGTATCCAGCTTTGAACACCAATGTTAGGGAATAAGCCTCCTTTTAAAAAGAAGGAGTATTCATGAAAAGCAGTTTAAAAAAATAGGTTATCTATTCATGCAAAAATATTCAATATATTTCCAAAGTATAAATAATCTAACCAATGAAATAAAACTATAACTTAGTAATAAAATTAAAAATAGAAAATATAAATTTAAAAAGATAATGACACATTTTGACCAGAGTGATAAAAGGCACTTATCCTAAATTCCCAGAAGTCCACAATATCTCAGGCTTCTGAAGATCTGTTATCCTTGTTCCATGGGTCTGTGAATCTTCAAATCAATATAACCAGATGCTTCAAAAAAAAAAAAACTGTAACTTCAGTATGCATTGCTCTTTTCTGAGTCCCCATTTTCACCTTTATTATAGTATAATAATTCCTTAATCTTGTCCAATTTTCAATTTTTTAAGATTTATCATTTTGCTTTATCAGTCTGAACTATTTTGACAAAATGACACAATAGCCTTTATATACTGTTTCTTTTGTCCATGGAGATATTTACCCACTAATATCTAGTTTCCATGTGTGTTAATTTTTTCTCAATTTTTAAATGTATTACCCATTTAACTTTATCTTAATTATCATTTCCCACTTAACTATTTGAATTAACATTCATCTGAAATTCTATCATTTAGGTTTCCAAAACCCATTCTTTTTTTTGATGTATAAAACAGTTGACCTTTGAATAATGTGGGAGTTAGGAGCACCAACATGCCAATGTAGTCAAAAATCTGAGCATTGCTTTTGACTTCACAATAACTGAACTACTGATAGGCTACTATTGACCAGAAGCCTTAACAATGACATAAAAAGTAGTTAACATATATTTTCTATCTTATATATATTACATACTCTATTCTTACAACAAAGGAACCTAGAGAAAAGACAATATTATTAAGAAAGTAAAAAAGTAGAAAAAATTTATTTATTATTCACTAAGTGGAAGTGGATTATCATAAAGGTCTTCATCCTCATTATCTTCACAATGAGTAGGCTGAGGAAGAGGAGAAAAAGAAAGGGTTGATCTTGATGTTTCAGGTGGCCGAGGCAGAAGGAAACTCATTTATGTGTAATATTCAAGTCAGGGTAACTGGGATATCCATGACCTCAAATATTTGTCTTTTCTTTATATTGAGAACATTTGAATTCTCTTCTATTATAGCTATTTTGAAATATGTAATAAATGATTGTTAACTAACATCATCCTACTGAAATATTAAACACTAGATCTTATTCCTTCTAACTGTAATTTAATATTCATTAATCAACCTCTCTTTATTTCCCCTCCCTGCTACCGTTCCCAGCCTCTGATACCCACCAATCTACTCTCTGTCTCTAGGAGATCCAATTTTTCAGCTCCCACATGTGAGTGAGAATATGTAACATCTGTTTTTGTGTTCCTGGCTTACTTTACACAAGATAATGACCTCCAGTTCTTTCCACGTTGTTGTGAATGTCAGGATTCATTCTATTTTATGGCTGAATAATATCCCATCGTGTATATGTACCACATTTTCTTTATCCATTCAGACATTGATAGATGCTTAGGCTGATTCCACATCTTAACTATTGTGAATACTGCAGCAATAGATATGAAATGTTAATAGATATGACTTCCTTTCTCCTGGATATATATGCAGCAGTGAGATTGCTGAATCATATGATACTTCTATTTTTAGTTATTTGAGGAAACTCCATACTGTTTTATAGTGACTGTACTAATTTACGTTTCTACCAATATTATACCAAGGTTGTCCTCCCTCCACATCCTCAACAACATCAGTTATTTTTTGTCTTTTTGATAAAAAGCAATTGTAACTTGGGTGAGATAATATTTTATTGTGGTTATCATGCACATTTCCCTGATGATTAGTGATGTCATGGGTTTTTTTTTTATATACCCATTAGACACTTCCATGTCTTCTTTTGAGAAATGTCTATTGAGAGCTTTTGCCCATTTTAATTCTTTTTTTTTTTTGCTATGGAGTTGTTTAAATTTTCTATATATTCTGGTTATTAATCTCTTTGCAGATGGATAGTTTGTGAAAGAGTTCTCTCATTCTGTAGGTTATTCAGAGGTTATTCATTCTCTTCACTTTGTTGATTGTTTTCTTTGTGGTGCAGAGGCTTTTTAGCTTGATGTAATCCCATTTGTCTAATGTTTCTTTTTTTTTCTGTGCTCTGGGAATATTGGCCAAAAAAGGTTTGTCCAGATCAATGTACTGGGTGGACAGACTCCATGTCCTCTTCTAGTAGTTTCATAGTTTCAGGTCTTAGATTTAAGTCTTTAATCATTGTGGTTTAATTTTTGTATATGGTGAGAGATAGGGGTGTAGTTTTATTCTTCCACCTATGGCTATTCAGTTTTTCCAGCACAACTTATTGAAGAGACTGCCATTTGCCCAATATATGTTCTTGAGGTCTTTGTCAAAAATGAATTGGATGTAAATACATAAATGTATTTCTGGGTTATCTGTTCTGTTCTGCTAGTCTAAGTTTCTGTTTTATGCCACCCCCTTGCTCTTTTGGTTACTATGGCTTTACGGTATACTTCAAAGTCAGGTAGTGCCATGCCTCCAGCTTTGATCTTTTATCTCAGGGTTGCTTTGGCTATTTGGTTTTTGTGTGAATTTTAGTGTTGTTTTTTCTATTTCTATAAAAAATGTTATTGACACTTTGATAGATATTGCACTCAATTTCTAAATTGTTTTGGGTGGTGTTTATATTTTAGCAATATTAATTCTTCCAATGCATAAGAATGGGATATCTTTTCATTGTTTGTGTTGTCTTCAATGTCTTTCATCAGTGTTTTATAGTTCTATTTTAGAGGTCTTTCACTTCATTGGTTATATTTATTCCTACGTATATTACTTTTATATTTATTGTAAATGAGATTGTGCCCTTGATTTCTGTCTTGGTCCATCTGTGTCCCTATAAAGTAATACCTGAAGCTGGTAATTTATAAAGAAAATAAGTTTATTTGGCTCACAGTTCTACAGGCTGTACAGGAAGCATGCCACCAACAGCTTTTTTGGTGAAGGCTTTAGGCTGCTTCCACTGATTTTGGAAGAACAAAGGGAACTGTTGTGTGCAGAGATCATATGGCAAGACAGGAAGTGAATGGGAAAGAGAGGAAGTGACAGGCTCTTTTTAACAACCAGCTCTTGTGGGAACTAGCAGAACAAAAACTCACTTATTACTACAGGACAGCACCAAGCCATTTATGAGGTATCTGCCCCATGAAACAAGCACCTCCCATTAGATCCCATCTTCAACAATGGGGATCAAATTCCAACATGAGGTTTGGGGGGAAAAACACCCAAACTATAGTATTCCACTCACAGTTCCCTAAAAGTAATGTGTATTAAACATACAAAACACAATTATTTTATCCAAATAGTCCCCAAAAGTCTTAACTTGTTCCAGCATCAACTCAAAAGCCTAAAGTCTCATCTGAGACTCAAGGCAATTCTTTCCCACTGTGAGCTTGTAAAATGAAAAACAAATTGTTTACTTTCAAGGTGCAATGATTGTACAGTCATTGGGTAAACATTTCCAGTTCAAAATGGTTAAATTATCCTAAGAAAAGAATAACAGATCCTATGCAAGTCTGAAACCCAAGAGGGCAGACATTCAAACTTAAAGCTCCAAAATGACTCCATGTCACATATCCTGGGCACCCTGATATGAGCAGTGGGCCTATAAGGCTTGAGAAGCCCTGTCTTTATGGCTTCGCTGGGCATGGCCCACATGGTTGCTCCCATGAGTTGAAATTGAATGCCTGTGACCTCTTCAGGCTGAAATTGCATGTTTGCATGTGGCTCTATAATTCTGGGGTCTGGAGGGTGGTTGTCCTGCTCCCCCAGCTCCATTAGGCAGTGCTCAGATGAGGACTACCTACAGGGGCTCCAACCACACATTTCTGCTTGGTATTGCCATAGCAGAATCTGTCTGTGGAGGCTCTGCCCTGCAACAAGCTTATGTGTGGGTGCTCAGACTTTCCAATATATCATCTGAAATCTTGGCAGAAGCTGCCAATCCTCCACCACTCTTGCATTCTGGGTACATGCAGTCTTAACACCAAATGGAAGCTTCAAAGGCTTATGGCTTATTCTTTCTGCAATGGCAGCCCAAATAGTATCTTGGACCCTGTGAGCTGTGGCTGGAGCCAGAATGTCCAGGATGCATGGGGCACTGTCTTGAAATGGCAGAGGTCAGTGGCATCTCAACCTGGCCCCCAAAATTATGTTGTCTTCCTATGCCTCTGGGACTGTGATGAGGGAAGCAGTGTAGGAGATTTCTGAAATATCCTGGAGGCTTTCTCCCCATTTTCTTGACTATTACCACCTGGCTCCCTTTTAGTTGTGCCAATCTCTCTAGCAAGTAATTGCTGTGCAGCACCCTTGAAATTCTTTCCTGAAAATGCTTTTTCCTTTCCTATCACATGTCCGGGCTGCAAATTTTCCAATATTTTACACTTTATTCCTTTTTAATAATAAATTCCACCTTTAGGCTTTTGCTTTCCTACTTTATCTGGTCATAAGCTGTTAAAAGCAGGAAAACCACTTCTTGAAGGTTTTGCTGCTTTGAAATTTCTTCTGACAGATACCCTAGGTCATAAGTTTACCCCTTCACAAAGCCCCAGGGCATGAACACAATGCATCTAAGTTCTTTGCTATAGAAAAATATGGGTGACCTTGGCTCCAGTTTCCAATAAATTCCTCCTTTCCATCTGTGACCTCGTCAGCAGGGCCTTCACTGTCTATATTCTATCTGCATTTTTAATCACAATCACATAACCAATCTTTAAGAAGTTCAAGGGGAGTGGCACCAAGATGGCCAAATAGGAACAGGTCCAGCCTGCAGCTCCCAGTGTGAACAACGCAGAAGACGGGTGATTTCTGCATTTCTAAGTAAGGTACCGGGTTCATTTCACTGGGGCTTGCCAGACAAGTGGGTGCAGCCCACGGAGCAGGGCAGGGCATAGTCTCACCCGAGAAGCACAAGGGATCAGGGAATTCCCTTTCCTAGCAAAGGGAAGCCGTGACAGATGGCACCTGGAAAATTGGGTTACTCCCACCCTAATACTATACTTTTCCAACAGCCTTAGCAAATGGCACACCAGGAGATTATATCCCGCACCTGGCTTGGAGGGTCCCACGCCCACGGAACCTCGGTCACTGCTAGCACAGCAGTCTGAGATTGAACTGCAAGGTGGCAGCGAGGCTGGGGGAGGGGCGTCCACCATTGCTGAGGCTTGAGTAGGTAAACAAAGCAGCCAGGAAGCTCCAGCTGGGTGGAGCCCACCGCAGCTCAAGGAGGCCTGCCTGCCTCTGTAGACTCCACTTCTAGGGGCAGGGCATAGCTGAACAAAAGGCAGCAGAAACTTCTGCAGACTTAAATGTCCCTGTCTGACAGCTTTGAAGAGAGTAGTGGTTCTCCCAGCACGGAGTTTGAGATCTGAAAATGGACAGACTGACTCTTCAAGTGGGTCCCTGACCCCTGAGTATCCTAACTGGGAGGCACCTCCCAGTAGGGTGGCGACTGACACCTCAAAAGGCTGGGTGCCTCTCTGAGACGAAGCTTCCAGAGGAAGGATTAGGCAGCAATATTTGCTGTTCTGCAGCCACCACTGGTGATACCCAGGCAAACAGAGTCTGGAGTGGACCTCCAGCAAACTCCAACAGACCTGCAGCTGAGGGTCCTGACTGTTAGAAGGAAAACTAACAAACAGAAAGGGCATCCACACCAAAACCCCATTTGTACGTCACCATCATCAAAGACCAAAGGTAGATAAAACCACAAAGATGGGGAGAAACCAGAGTAGAAAAGCTGAAAATTCTAAAAATCAGAATGCCTGTTCTCCTCCAAAGGAACACAGCTCCTCACCAGTAATGGAACAAGGCTGGATGGAGAATGACTTTGATGAGTCGAGAGATGAAGGCTTCAGATGATCGGTAATAACAGACTTCTCCGAGCTAAAGGAAGATGTTTGAACCCATCACAAAGAAGCTAAAAACCTTGAAAAAAGTAGGCAAATGGCTAACTAGAATAAATAGTGTAGAGAAGTCCTTAAATGACCTGATGGAGCTGAAAACCATGGCACGAGAACTACGTAACACATGCACAAGCTTCAGTAGCAGATTTGATCAAATGGAAGAAAGGATATCAGTGATTGAAGATCAACTGAATGAAATGAAGTGAGACGAGAAGTTTAGAGAACAAAAGAGTAAAAAGAAATGAATAAAGCCTCCAAGAAATATGGGACTATGTGAAAAGACCAAATCTATGTCTGGTTGGTGTACCGGAAAGTGATGGGGAGAATGAAACCAAGTTGGAAAACACTCTTCAGGATATCATCTAGGAGAACTTCCCCAACCTAGTGAGGCAAGCCAACATTAAAATTCAGGAAATACAGAGAACGCCAGAAAGATACTCCTTGAGAAGAGCAACTCCAAGACACAATTGTCAGATTCACCAAAGTTGAAACAAAGGAAAAAATATTAAGGACAGCCAGAGAGAAAGGTCGGGTTACCCACAATGGGAAGCCCATCAGACTAACAGCAGATCTCTTGGCAGGAACTCTACAAGCCAGAAGAGAGTGGGGGCCAATGTTCAACATTCTTAAAGAAAAGAATTTTCAACCCAGAATTTCATATTCGGCCAAACTAAGCTCCATAAATGATAGAGAAATAAAACACTTTACAGAGAAAAAAATGCTGAGAGATTTTGTAACCACCAGGCCTGCCTTACAAGAGCTCCTGAAGGAAACACTAAACATGGGAAGGAACAACCTGTACCAGCCACTGCAAAAACATGCCAATAAGACAATCAATACTAGGAAGAAACTGCATCAACTAATGAGCAAAATAACCAGCTAACATCATAATGACAGGATCAAATTCACATATAACAATATTAACCTTAAATGTAAATGGGCTAAATGCTCCAATTAAAAGACACAGACTGGCAAATTGGATAAAGAGTCAAGACTCATCAGTGTGCTATATTCAGGAGACCCATCTCACGTGCAGAGACACACATATGCTCAAAATAAAGGGATGGAGGAAGATCTACCAAGCAAATGGAAAACAAAAAAAGGCAGGGGTTGCAATCCCAGTCCCTGATAAAACAGACTTTAAACCAGCAAAGATCAAAAGAGACAAAGAAGGGTATTACCTAATGGTAAAGGGATCAATTCAACAAGAAGAGCTAACTATTCTAAATATATATGCACCCAATACAGGAGCACCCAGATTCTTAAAGCAAGTCCTTAGAGACTTAAAAGAGGCTTAGACTCCCACACAATAATAATGGGAGACTTTAACACTCCACTGTCAACATTAGACAGATCAATGAGACAGAAAGTTAACAAGGATATCCAGGAATTGAACTCAGCTCTGCACCAAGAGGACCTAATAGACATCTACAGAACTCTCCACCCCAAAACAACAGAATATACATTCTTCTCAGCACCACACCATGCCTATTCCAAAATTGACCACATAGTTGGAAGTAAAGCACTCCTCAGCAAATGTAAAAGAACAGAAATTATAACAAACTGTCTCTCAGACCACAGTGCAATCAAACTAGGACTCAGGATTAAGAAACTCACTCAAAACCGCTCAACTACATGGAAACTGAACAACCTGCTCCTGAATGACTACTGGGTACATAACGAAATGAAGACAAAAATAAACATGTTCTTTGAAACCAATGAGAACAAAGACACAACATATCAGAATCTCTGGGACACATTTAAAACAGTGTGTAGAGGGAAATTTACAGCACTAAATGCCCACAAGAGAAAGCAGGAGAGATCTAAAATTTACACCCTAACATCACAATTAAAAGAAGTAGAGAAGCAAGAGCAAACACATTCAAAAGCTAGCAGAAGGCAAGAAATAACTAAGATCAGAGCAGAACTGAAGGAGATAGAGACACAAAAAACCCTTCAAAAAAATCAATGAATCCAGGAGCTAGTTTCTTGAAAAGATCAACAAAATTGATAGACTACTAGCAAGACTAATAGAGAAGAAAAGAGAGAAGAATCAAATAAATGCATTAAAAAATAATAAAGGCGATACCACCACTGATCCTATAGAAATACAATCTACCATCACAGAATACTATAAACACCTCTACACAAATAAACTAGCAAATCTAGAAGAAATGGATTAATTCCTCGACACATACACTCTCCCAAGACTAAACCAGGAAGAAGTTGAATCCCTGAATAGACCAATAATAGGTTCTGAAATTGAGGCAATAATTAATAGCCTACCAATCAAAAATAGTCCAGGACCAGAAGGATTCACAGCCGAATTCTACCAGAGGTAGAAAGAGGAGCTGGTTCCATTCCTTCTGAAACTATTCCAATCAATAGAAAAAGAGGGAATCCTCCCTAACTCATTTTATGAGTCCAACATCATCCTGATACCAAAGCCTGGCAGAGACACAACAAAAAAAGAGAATTTTAGACCAATATCCATGATGAACATCGATGCAAAAATCCTCATTAAAATACTAGCAAACTGAATCTAGCAGCACATCAAAAAGCTTATCCACCATGATCAAGTTGGCTTCATCCCTGGGATGCAAGGCTGGTTCAACATACGCAAATCAATAAACGTAATCCAGCATATAAACAGAACCAAAGACAAAAACCACATGATTATCTCAATAGGTGCAGATATGGCCTTTGACAAAATTTAACAGCCCTGCATGCTAAAACCTCTTAATAAACTAGGTATTGATGGGACATATCTCAAAATAATAGGAGCTATTTATGACAAACCCACAGCCAATATCATACTGAATGGGCAAAAACTGGAAGCATTCCCTTTGAAAACTGGCACAAGACAGGGATGCCCTCTCTCACCATTCCTATTCAACATAGTGTTGGAAGTTCCGGCTAGGGCAATCAGGCAAGCGAAAGAAATAAAGGGTATTCAGTTAGGAAAAGAGGAAATCAAATTGTCCTTGTTTGCAGATGACATGATTGTATATCTAGAAAACCCCATCATCTCAGCCCAAAGTCTCCTTAAGCTGATAAGCAACTTCAGCGAAGTCTCAGGATACAAAATCAATGTGCAAAAATCAAAAGCCTTCTTATACACCAATAACAGACAAACAGAGAGCCAAATCATGAGTGAACTCCCATTCACAATTGCTTCAAAGAGAATAAAATACCTAGGAATCCAACTTACAAGGGATGTGAAGGACCTCTTCAAGGAGAACTACAAACCACTGCTCAACAAAATAAAAGGACACAGATGGAAGAAAATTCCATGCTCATGGGTAGGAAGAATCAATATCGTGAAAATGGCCATACTGCCCAAGGTAATTTATAGATTCAATGCCATCCCCATCAAGCTACCAATGACTTTCTTCACAGAATTGGAAAAAACTACTTTAAAGTTCATATGAAACCAAAAAAGAGCCCACATTGTCAAGAAAATCCTAAGCAAAAAGAACAAAGCTAGAGGCATCATGCTACCTGACTTCAAACTATACTACAAGGCTACAGTAACCAAAACAGCATGGTACTGGTACCAAAACAGAGACATAGATCAATGGAACAGAATAGAGCCCTCAGAAATAATACCACACATATACAACCATGTGATCTTTGGCAAACCTTACAAAAACAAGAAATGGGGAAAGGATTCCCTATTTAATAAATGGTGCTGGGAAAACTGGCTAGCCATATGTAGAAAGCTGAAACTGGATCCCTTCCTTACACCTTATACAAAAATAATTCAAGATGGATTAAAGACTTAAATATTAGATCTAAAACCATAAAAACCCTGGAAGAAAACCTAGGCAATACCATTCAGGACATAGGCATGCCAAGGTCTTCATGTCTAAAACACCAAAAGCAATGGCAACAAAAGCCAAAATTGACATATGGGATCTAATTAAAGAGCTTCTGCACAGCAAAAGAAACTACCATCAGTGTTAACAGGCAACCTCCAGAATGGGAGAAAATTTTTACAGTCTACCCATCCGAAAAAGGGCTAATATCCAGAATCTACAAAGAACACAAACAAATTTACGAGAAAAAAATCAAACAACCCCATCAACAAGTGGGCAAAGGATATGAACAGACACTTCTCAAAAGAAGACATTTATGCAGCCAACAGACACATGAAAAAATGCTTGTCATCACTGGCCATCAGAGAAATACAAATCAAAACCACAGTGAGATACCATCTCACACCAGTCAGAATGGCGATCATTAAAAAGTCAGGAAACAACAGGTGCTGGGGAGGATGTGGAGAAATAGGAACACTTTTACACTGTTGGTGGGACTGTAAACTAGTTCAACCATTGTGGAAGACAGTGTGGCAATTCCTCAAGGATCTAGAACCGGAAATACCATTTGACCCAGCCATCCCATTATTGAGCATATACCCAAAGGATTATAAACCATGCTGCTATAAAGACACATGCACATGTATGTTTATTGCAGCACTATTCACAATAGCAAAGACTTGGAACCAACCCAAATGTCCATCAATGATAGATTGGATTAAGAAGATGTGGCACATATACACCATGGAATACTATGCAGCCATAAAAAAGGATGAGTTCATGTCCTTTTTAGGGACATAGATGAAGCTGGAAACCATCATTCTCAGCAAACTATTGCAAGGACAGAAAACCAAACGCCTCATGTTCTCACTCATAGGTGTGAACTGAACAATAGGAACACATGGACACAGGGTGGGGAACATCACACACTGGGGCCTGTTGTGGGATAGGGGGATGGGGGAGGGACAGCATTAGGAGATATACCTAATGTAAATGATGAGTTAACGGGTGCAGCACACCAACATGGCACATGTATACATATGTAACAAACCTGCATGTTGTGCACATGTACCCTATAACTTAAAGTAAAATAAAAAAATTATAATAATAAAATAAAAATAAAAAAGAATTTCCAAACTTTCTCTGCTCTTCTGAGTCCTCAAAACTCTTCTAACCTCTATCCATTAACTCAGTTTCAAAGCTACTTCCACGGTTTCAGGTATCATTATAGCAATGTCCCACTTCTTGTTACCAATTTTCTGTCATAGTTCATTTGTGTTGCTATAAAGAAATGTCTGAGGCTGAGAAGCTTATACAAAGAAAAAAAAAAGGTTTATTTGACTCAGAGTTCTACAGGCTGATAAAAACTATTGTGCCAACATAGCTTCTGGTGAGGGCCTCCAGCTTCTTTTATTCATGGTGGAACGTGAAGGAGAACTGGTATATGAAGAGATCACATGGTAAGCATGGAAGTGAGAGAGAGGGAGGAAATGTCAGGTTGTTTTTAACAACCAGTTTTCATGGGAAAAAATAAAGCAAGAATTATTCATTACCATGAAGATAGCACAAAGACACTTGAGGAATCAGCTCCCATGACCCTAACTCTTCATATTGGGCTCCACTTGCAACATAGGGGATCAAATTTCAACATGAAGTTTGATGCAAAAACATCCAAACTATAGGGATTTCTTTCTGAGATTATTCACTGTTAGCATATGAAAGTGCTAATGATTTTGTATGTAACAACTTTGCTGAATTCATTCATTAATTCCTTTTTGCTGGGGTCTTCAGATTTTTCTAAATACAAGATCACATCATCTGCAAACAAGTATATTTTGACTTATTTCTTTCCAATTTTTATGCCTGTTATTTTTTTCTCTTGCCTAATTGTTTCAGCTAAGACTTCCAGTGCTATATTTAGTTAAAGTTACAAAAGGTGAATATCGTTGTCTTGTTCTAGATCTTAGAGGAAAGACTTTCCACTTTTCCCCATTCAGCATGAGGTAGTTATATGTTTGTCATAGATGGCCTTTATTCTTTTGAGGTATATTCCTTGTATACTCAGATTGTTAAGAGTTTTTATCATAAAGATATGTTAAATTTATCAAATGCTTTTTTGGCATATATTAAAATCATCTATGGTTTTTGTTCTTGATTTTGTAATGTGCTGTGTCATGTGTATTAATTTGCATATGGTGAACCACCTTGCATCACTGAGAGGAATCCCACATTTTTAATGTGTTGTGTTCAGTTTGATAGTATGTTGTTGAGGAATTTTGTATGTGTATACATAAGGGTTATTGGTCTATAGTTTTCTACTTTTGTTGTGTCCTTGACTGCTTTTGATATCAGGGTAATGCTGGGCTCCTAGGATGAATTTGAAGGTATCCACTCCATTTAAATTTTTTTAGTTTTAACAGAATTTGTGTCGCTTCTTCATTAAATGTTTGGTAGAATTCAGCAGTAAAGGCACCAAATTTCATTGGAGCTTTCCTCATGTGAGACTTTTGATTACTACTTTGATTTGGGTACTCATTATTGGTCTGCTGAGGTTTTCTATTTCTTCATGCTGCAATCTTGGTAGATAGCGTATGTCTAGAAATTTTTGATTTCTTTCAGTTTTCCAAATTGTTGGTGTACAGCTGTTCATAGTAGACTCTAATGAGCATTTGTATGTCTGTCATATCAGTTGTTATGTCTCTTTTTTCATTTCTTGTTTTATATTCTTGGGTATTCTCTCTTTTGTTCCTAGTGTAGCTAGCAGTTTGTCAGTTTTGTTTATTCCAAAAACCATAACTTTTTGTTTTGTCAATCTTTTGTACTTTTTAATTTTCAAGTTTAATTATTTCTGCTCTGACTTTTGTTTTTACTTTATTCCACTAATATTGAGTTGGTATGTCTTTGCTGTTCTAGTTCTTTGACGTGCATCATTAGGTTGTTTATTTGCAGGCTTTTAACTTTTTTATGTAGACATTTATTGCTATAAACTTCCCTCTTATTACTGCTTTTTCTGTATCTCATATATTTTTGTATGTTGGGTTTCCATTTTCATTTGTTTCAAAAAAATTTTTTAATTCTCTTTTTAACTTCTTAATTGACCCAATAGTTGTTTAGGAGCATATTTTCTTTTATTTTTTTTTCAATTTCCATGTGTTTGTATAGTTTCCAAAGTTCCTCTTGTTATTGATTTCTAGTGTTACTACATTTCAGTCTAAGAAGATGTTTGATTTAATTTTGATATTGTTAAACTTGTTGAAACTTGTTTTGTGACTTAACATATGGTCTATTCTGAAGGATATTTCCTGTGCTAATGAGAAGAATGTGAATTCTGAAGTAGTTGGTTGAAATGTTTCATAAATGATTGGTTCATTTGGTTTAATGTATAGTTTTACTCCAGTGCTTTGCTGAGTTTCTGTAAAGATAATCTATTACTGACTGTGGGTTGTTGAATTCCCCTACTATTACTGTATTGCAGCCTTTTCCTTCCTTTAGATCTAGCAATGTTTGTTTTAATTATTTGGGTCCTCTGCTGTTGAGCACATATAAATTTATACTTGTTATATTATCTTGCTGAATTGACCCATTTATCATTATTTCGGTAACCTTCTTTGTCTCTTTTCATTGTCTTTGACTTGTAATCTATTTTACCTGATGATATGGTTTGGATTTGTATTCCTGCCCAATTCCATGCTGAATTGAAGGAGGGGCCTGGTAGGAGGGGGTGGATTTCTTCCTTGCTGTTCTTGGATAGAGAGTGAGTTCTCATGAGCTCTGATGGTTTAAAAGTGTGTAGCGCTTCCTCCTTTGCTCTCTCTCTCTATCCTGCTCTCTCATGTTAAGAAGTGCTTGCTTCCCCTTTGCCTTCCTCTGTGGTTGTAAGTTTCCTGAGGTCTCCCAATCATGATTTCTTTTAAGCCTATGGAACTGTGGTGAATTAAACCTCTTTCTTCATAAATGACTCCGTCTTGGGTATGTCTTTATGGCAGTGTGAAAATGGACTGACACAGAGAATTGGTATCAGGATTGGGGCATTGCTATAAAGATGCCTGAAAATGCGGATGTGATTTTGGAACTGGGTAATGGGCAGATGTTGAAACAGTTTGGAGCTTCCTAGAGACTGATTGAATGGTTTTGACCAAAAAGTCCAGGCTGAGCTGGTCTCAGATGGAGATGAGGAATTTGTTGGGAACAGAAGCAAAGGTGACTCTTGCTGTGCTTTAGCAAAGAGACTAGGGGTATTTTGCCACTGCCTTAAAAATCTGTGGAACTTTGAACTTGAGAGAGATAATTTAGGGTGTCTGGTGGAAGAAATTTCTAAGCAGCAAAGAATTCAATATATGATCTGGCTGTTTCTAAAAGTGTATGCTCATATGTGTGAAGAAAGACATGGCCTGAAATTGGAACATGTATTTAAAAGGGAAGCAGAGCATAAAAGTTTGAAATATATGCAGCCCAACCATGAAGTAGAAAAGAAAAATCCATTTTCTGGGGAGCAGTTCAAGCTTTATGCAGATGTTTGCATAAGTAATGAGAAGCTGAATGTTAATAGCCAAAGCAATGGGGAAAATATCTTCATGGCATTTCAGAGATCTTCATGGAGGCCTCTCCCATCAGATGCCTGAAAACCTAGGAGAGAAAAATAGTTTTGTGGGTCAGGTCGAGGGCCCAGCTGCTCTGTGCAGCCTCAGGACATGGTGCCCTACATCCCAGCTACTCCAGCTCTAGCGGTGGCTAAACATGGCCAAGGTGTAGCTTGGGCTGTTGTTTCAGAGGGTGCAAGCCCCACACCTTGGTTACTTCCATGTGGTGTTGGGCCTGCAGGTGTACAGAAGGCAAAAGATTGGAAGTCTGTGCCTAGATTTCACAGGATGTGTGGAAATGCCTGGCTGTCCAGGCAGAAGTCAGCTTCAGTGGGAGAGCTCTCATGGAGAACCTCCAATAGGGGAGTAGGGAGGAAAAATGAGGGTTGGAGCCCACACACAGAGTCCCCACTGTACCATTGCCTAGTGGAGCTGTTAGAAGAGGGTGACCATCGACCAGAATGCTAGATCCACTGACAGCTTGCACCGTGCACCTGGAAAAGCTGCAGGCATTCATGAGAGCAGCCATGGGAGTTGAGCCCTGCAGAGATATATGGGCGAAGCTGCCCAAGTATATGGGAGCCCACTCCTTGCATTCAGTGTGCCCTGGATGTGAGACATGGAGTCAAATAATATTATTTTGGAGATTTAAGATTGAATGACTGCCTTGCTGCGTTTTGGAGTTGCATGGGGCCTGGACTGTAGCCCATTTATTTTGGTTGATTTCTTCCTTTTGTAATGGGAGTGTTTACCCAATGCCTGAACTCCCATTGTATCTTCAAGTAACTAACTTGTTTTTTATTTTATAGGGTTATAGGCAGGAGCAAATTGCCTTGTCTCAGATGAAACATTGGACTTAGACTTTCGAGTTAATGCTGAAATGAGTTAAGACTAAGAGACTGTTGAGAAGGGTTCATTGTATTTTGCAATGTGAGAAGGACATGAGGTTTGTGAGGGGCCAGGGTGGAATGATATGATTTGAGTTTTTGTCCCTGCCCAAATCTCATGTTGAATTGGAGGAGGAGCCTGGTGGGAAGTGATTGGATCATAGTGGTGGATTTCTCCCTTGTTGTTATTATGATAATGAGTGAGTTCTTATTATACCTGATGGTTTACAAGTGTGTGGCACTTTCCTTTTTGCTCTGTCTCTCTCCTGTTCCACTGTCATTACATATGCTTACTTCCCCTTCACTTTCTGCCATGATTGTAAGATTCCTGAGGCCTTTCAGTCATGATTCCTTTTAAGCCTGTGGAGTTGTGAGTCAATTAAACCTTTTTTTTTTTAAATAAAGTACCCAGACTCAGGTAATTCTTTATAGCAGTGTGAAAATGGACTAATACACCTGGTATACGTATGGCTACTCCCACTCTTTTTTAGTGTTTATTTGCATGGAAGTTTTCATCCATCTCTTCACTTTCAGCCTATGTGTGTTGTTATAGGTGAAGTGAGTTCCTTGTAGGCAGCATATAGTTGGCTCTTTTAAAAACTATCCATTCAGCTAATCTATGTCTCTTAATTGGAGAATTTAGTCAATTTACATTTAATGTTATTATTATAGATAAGGACATACTACTATCATTCTGTTAGTTGTTTTTTGCTTGTTTTGTAGTTCCTCTCTTCCTATCTTTCTTTCTTATTGTTATCGTTTTTATTAAGGGATTTTCTCTGGTAGTATGTTTTATTTTGTTGGTTTTTATTTTTAGTGTATCTATTATATGTTTTTGCTTTATGATTGCCATGAGACTTACAAAAAAACTTATAGATATAACAACTCATTTTAAACAGATGAGACCTTATCTATGATCACAAAGAAATTAAACAGAGGAAAAACTAGAAAATTTTCTACACTTAAACTCCGTCCCCCTGTTTTGACTTTTCTAGTCTCAATTTTCAACTTTAAATTTTGTCTGTCTCTTAACAAGTTGCTATGGTTGCTATTTTTTTAAATAGATTTGCCTTTTTCTCTTAATGTTATAGATATGAGTAGATTATACACAATTACATTATTAGAATATCCTGAGTTTGTCTACTCACGTTTACTAGTGGTTTTATACCTTCAAATGTTTTCTTTTTCCACACTAGTGTACTTTTCTTTCATATTGAAAAACTCTCTTCAATATTTCTTATAAGATGTGTCTGTCAACTCATCCATTTTTTTTAAATTTAGCATTTATACTTCTCCAAATCATTATCTCTCATGAGTTCATTTTAATAACTGCCTGCTGTCATTTCGTGTTTCCAATATTATTTTATTTATCTCAGTATATTCTTTGTCCTCTATTTGAAGTCTTTCTTTGACAGGTCATTTAATTCAGCCTACTCTAAATAATCAGATCCTCTTGGCCATGGTGTCTCTGAGACCCTTGACTAATTGCTCCATTATTTCAGCTGCCTTTAAGGTGAGAGATTCATTATAGCCATGTTGCTTAGTGCCCAAGATAGACCATCAGCATACTAATAGTTTCTGGCTTTTCCTGACTTCTGGATTCAAGTGAGATGCCACACCTAAAGATACGTGGTATAGATTTTTAAGCAGCTGGTGAAAAGGCCAGGTGACAAAACCTTGAAGTACATGGGGAGTTGACTTTTTTTTTTTTTTTTTTACTTTAAGTTCTGGGATAAATGTGGTGCAGAACGTGCAGGTTTGTTACATAGGTATATATGTGCCATGGTGGTTTGCTGCACCTATCAACCCATTATATATGTTTTTAAGCCCTGCATGCATTAGATATTTGTCCTAACGCTCTCCTTTACTTTGCCTCCCACCCCCCAACAGGCTCCAGTCTGTGTTCTTCCCACTCCGTGTCCATGTGTTCTCATTGTTCAACTCCCACTTTTAAGTGAGAACATGCAGTATTTGGTTTTTTGTTCCTGTGTTAGTTTGCTAAGGATGATGGCTTCCTGCTTCATCCATGTGCCTGCAAAGGACATGATCTCATTCTTTTTTATGTCTGCATAGTATTCCATTGTGTATATGTACCATATTTTCTTTATCCAGTCTATCATTGAGGGGCATTTGAGTTGGTTCCATGCCTTTGCTATTGTAAATAGTGCTGCAGTAAACGTACATGTGCATGTGTTTTTATAGTAGAAAGACTTATATTCCTTTGGGTATATACCCAGTAACAAGATTGCTAGGTCAAATGTTATTTCTAGTTCTAGATCCTTGAGGAATCACCACACTGTCTTCCACAATGGTTGAACTAACTTACACTCCCACTAACAGCGTAAAACTGTTCTTATTTCTCCACAGCCTCACCAGGATCTATTGTTTCTTGACTTTTTAATAATCGCCATTCTGACTGGTGTGAGATGGTATCTCATTGTGGTTTTGATTTGCATTTTTCTAATGATCAGTGATGATGAGCGTTTTTTCATGTGTTTGTTGGCTGCATAAATGTCTTCTTTTGAGAAGTGTCTGTTCATATAATTTGCCTACTTTTTGATGGTATTGTTTGTTTTTTTCTTGTAAATTTGTTTAAGTTCTTGGTAGATTCTGTGTATTAGACCTTTGTTAGAAGGATAGATTGCAAAAATTTTCTCCAGTTCTGTAGCTTGCCTGTTCACTCTGATGCTAGTTTCTTTTGCTATGCAGAAGCTCCATAGTTTAATTAGATCCCATTTGTCAATTTTGGCTTTTGTTGCAATTGCTTTTGGTGTTTTAGTCATGAAGTCTTCTCCCATGCCTATGTCCTGAATGGTATGTCCCAGGTTTTCTTCTAGGGTTTTTATGGTTTGAGGTTTTACATTTAAGTCTTTAATCCATCTTGAGTTAATGTTTGTATAAGGTGTAAGGAAGGGATCCAGTTTCAGTTTTATGCATAAGGCTAGCCAGTTTTCCCAGCACCTTTTATTAAATAGGGAATCCTTTCCCCATTGCTTGTCTCTATCAGGTTTATTGAAGATTAGATAATTGCCTTCTCTCACCACTCCTATTCAACATAGTATTGGAAGTTCCTGCCATGGCAATTAGGCAAGAGAAATAAATAAATCATATTCTAATAGGAAGAGGGGAAGTCAAATTGTCTCTGTTACCAGATGACATGATTCTATATTTAGAAAACCCATCGTCTCAGCCTAGAAAGTCCTTAAGCTGATAAGCAACTTCAGCAAAGTTTCAGGATACAATAACAATGTGCAAAAGTCACCAGCTTTCCTATACCAACAACAAACAAGCAGAGAGCCAAATCGTGAATGAACTTCCATTCACAATTACTGCAAAGAGAATAAAATACCTAGCAATGCAGCATACAAGGGACATGAAGGACCACTTCAAGGAGAGCTACAAACCACTGCTCTAGGAAACAAGAGAGGATGTACATAAAAGGGAAAAAATTCCATGCTCATGGATAGGGAGAATCAATACTGTGAAAATGGCCATACTGCCCAAAGTAATTTGTAGATTCCATGCTATTTCCATTAAACTTCCATTGACATTCTTCACAGAATTAGAAAAAAACTATTTTAAAATTCACATGGAACCAAAAGAGAGCCCATATAGCCAAGACAATCCTAAGTGAAAAGAACAAAGCTGGAGGCATCATGTTACCTGACTTCAAACTTTACTACAAGGCTACAGTAACCAAAACAACATGATACTGGTACCAAACAGATATATAGACCAATGGAACAGAAGAGAGACCTCAGAGTTGACTTTTTTTGGTAAACATTTTATCAATAAGAGATAGAAAAAATCTAGCACACAAATTTCCACTCCCTTCCTTTGTCTGTTGGTATATTTCAAATTATAGGCATTACATGAGGTATCTGGAAAATTCAGTGGGAGTCAAGAGCATGCCCTTTGATGGCTTGCTGTCAAACAGTGGTCATCGCAAAGATCCACTATATTGTATTTGCTTTCCATCCTTACCTACTTTCTTCCTTTTTTCTTTCTCTTCATTCATACTGCATTGGAATTGTATTTCTCAACAAAGCTTTATCACATATATGTATAAGCCAAAAAAACCGCTGTTTTCTTGAAAGCCTGGGCTAAATCAATGAAGTCTTTCCAGAAAGCATAATCTCAGGTTGGGGGCATATTTTCTACTTATATGAAAGCAATAGAAATTCCAGTACTCTGGTAAGTGGAGTGGTAAACTGGCACTCAGTAGCATTGCAATACCTTAACCTTTCACAAGTGGTTAATTCAAGTGAGATACAAAGGGAAGGGAAGGTTTTGGGAAATCAAGTAGCCATGGGATAAATATTATGGAAGCAATAACTGTAAGGATTGGAAAGTAGGATAGTTCTTTTTGAGAGGATTAGAGAACTTATAAAAGAAAAATAATGCAAAGATTAGGTTGATTGTTTCCTAGATAGCTAGCAGCACTCTGAAAATCAGGGTGCTTCCATAGCAACTGTAAATAACCTTAACTACTACAGATTCAGAGTTGATATGCTGGAAATCCTGATCAAGACCTTAATATAAAGGTAGCAATTATATAGTTTCAAAGGTATCAAATATGTAGTTACAAAGCACATCAAGTGCATAGCCTCTTAGTACAAATGAAGAGTAAAAAGGTCTCTTAGTACAAATGAAGAGTAAAAAAAAATACTGGATTCTGAGTTCTGTGATGGGAACACTTGAGTGGCTATGTCTGAGAATATTTGAATGCGCAAATTTTCCTAAACCCTCCTGTCCGCATAAGCATTTTCTTTCTCCTTGACTGAGAAGAAAAATTCCTCTGGCCTGGAAATCATATAATGATCTCAACTGAAGTATATACCTTGCAATATGACAGTTATTCTTTTCAAGGCAGGCCCTACACCCCTCACTGCCTACAAACAGTGCCACGTCTGAGCATTGCCTTTGTAGTGAAGAATAAGTTAAACACTTGTCTAGAAAAAAGAAAAAAGCCTATAGTCCAAAGGAATCATAGATTCTCAAACTATACACAAGTAATAACTAGGAGAATACATGTGGCACCTTGAGGGGATAGAGCAATGAGGGGTGCTAACCATTTTCTTGGTGTTCAATATGAACACAGAAATCCAGTGGACCCACTATGCATGTGAATTCAGTAAGACAAAGTAAGTAGAACATAACAGGAGGAGGAAGAGTATCACTGACAATCCCAACATCATGCTTTCTGTCTGAACCAGAACTTGCTTCCAGATTGGAAAGAATTCAGTAGCATTCTAAGAAACAAACGAGTACCCATGTTACTTTCCTGCATTAGCTAATTGCTTATACAGATAATGAAGACATGAAAGAAAACGGAGACCAGGAGCGGCAGCTCACGCCTGTAATCCCTGCATTTTGGGAGGCCGAGGTGTGTGGATCACCTGAAGTCAGGAGTTCGAGATCAGCCTGGCCAACATGGCGAAACCCCGTTTCTACTAAAAATAGAAGAAATTAGTCAGTTGTGGTGGCGAGGGCCTGTAATCCCAGCTACTGGAGAGGCTGAGGCAGGAGAATTGCTTGAAATCGGGAGGTGGAGGTTGCAGTGGGCCGTGGGCTGAGATCGCACCATTGCACTCCAGCCTGGGCAACAAGAGCAAAACTCCGTCTCAAAAGAAAAAAAAAAAAAGAAAAAAAATTAAGAAAGAAAGAAAAGAGAAAGTTATAGCAGCCTAAGTCTATTGTTCCCTTTTCTTTTAGTCCTTTTTTCTTCACCAGTAAATCAAAATTAGAGTTATTAGAATGTACACATATAAAAAAGTAAAATAAAAAGTCAAGTGTGTTTTGTGCAATATTTCTGTGTTCTAGCAAAAGAGAAACACATGTATGTGTGAGCTATAAAAACGTGTAATTTTGGCCCGGTGCGGTGTCTCATGCCTATAATCCTAGCACGTTGGGAAGTTGAGGTGGGTGGATTGCCTGAGCTCAGGAGTTGGAGACCAGCCTGGGCAACACGGTGAAACCCCGTCTCTACTAAAATACAAAAAATTAACCAGGCATGGCGGCATGCATCTGTAATCCCAGCTATTTGGGAGGCTGAGGCAGGAGAATCGCTTGAACCCGGGAGGTGGAGGTTGCAGTGAGCAGAGATCGCCCAGTTGCACTCAAGCCTGGGTGAGAGAGTGAGGCTCCTTCTCAAAAACAAAACAACAACAACAAAAACGTGTAATTTTAGAGATTTCACATGAGGTAAATGGTCTCATATTGGAATTTAAAGCTGTCATTCCACAGTACAAAAATGTATGGCAAAAATCCATCTAAAATTCTTAATTTTTAGTTTTTCTTTATTTTGAATGGCATTATATAGCAAATAACCACCATGATTAGTAAAAATCTAGACTGGAGAAGGCAGGAAAAAGTTTACTTAGTGGCATTATTTTCCTTAAATAAGGTTCCCTACATTTTCATTTTGCTCAGGGCATCACAAATTCTGTAGCTGGTCATAACTGTGTATATACAAACACACGCTTAAGATGTATATATACTTAAGCAAGATATGTGTGTGTGTGTATACTTAAGCAAGAGGTATGTATATGTATGTGTATATATATATATGTGTTTGTGTATAAATATATACAGCAAGTACCCATTTTTTCACCCTTAAGGGTGCTGTCACCACCATTTAAAGTGTATTTTCTAATATTTCCATCAATATCTATGAATATCTGCAGCCATTTGAATTTGAAAACATTTTGAGGACTGTTTGATGTGAAGTCTGAGCTGACACTAACATCAGAGACATGAAATGCCATTTTCATCTTCTTAGTAGAGAGGGAACTTATGAAGGGTAAGTATTATCGTGGTTTGGTATAAAGCAGTGGCCAGCGTGGTAATGCACGTAGCTTCCTGCACTTCCCTGCCTCACCTCCCCTTTCCATCACTCACATTGCATTGCACATTACAAAAGTATTAGAATGTAAGTTTTGCCCAAACTCTGTTTCACAGGGTACTGTGTTATGCACTGCTAAGTTTCTTGTTTGCCCTTCATAGTGCATAAGATTTTCCTGGTGACTTACTATTTTCAACATTCAGCTCATATTTACTTGCAATTTTAAGCTTTTGTGATCAACAATGTTATCACTGGGAAAATGCCAAACCCTATGGCATAGCTTGAGTCTGCTCCTGATGTTTAGGAAATAGGGTGACAAGAGAGCTTCAGATAAATAATACAGAATAGAGCTTTGTTTCAACCTTATGGAGGATGTAGAAGAACAAATTCTCAAGTTTGGGCCAGCTCATCTTAATTTTAGTGATGCTGGGATTCAAGGATGCCCTGATGTTTCTCTGCCAACCTGGCTATCACAGTCTGGCATTCCTTCTTTCTTAACTTGTAATTAGACAATAAGATAGGCAATTATTTACATAGGAAAATGTGGAATGAAACAACAGAGAAGGACAGAAAGTGTTTCTATCCCCATTTTCCATCAGTAACATCTTTTTTTCTAAGCTACTACTTATCTTCCACATTTTGCTTCCCAAAGGGGCTTCCTTTTTTTGTTTTTCTTTTCATTTTTAATTGTTAGATTCTGGGATATCAGAGCCTTCCTCTCAGTTCTGCGGGACAACTGGGGATTGGAGTATGCAGAGAGGAGAGCCCACAGAGTTTTACAAGAATGTAAAGCCTTACATTTAAAATGTATAAATTCCACAAAAGGGAAGACATCAAGATAATTTATAATGCAATGCCCAGTTGGTTTTTCATTCTGAGTTTAGCTTTAAGAAAGCTTATATTAAAATAAGCCTTATTTTCTTGTCATAGCTCCTAATTTATATAATTCATGATTAATAACATATTACTTCTGTTATTATGGAATTATAGTATCGTTTTATCTCAACTAAAGGAATGCAGATTACTTGATGAATGCTTAGAAAGTTAATGTCTGCCATATCAATATAATATTTTAGCAGAGAGTTAAATGCTAGAGGTTAAGTGCAATTTTATTTCTATTTAAAGTAGCTAATTAAGAAGTAATTCTTACTATATAATACCAAAGATTGAGGGCTGAAAACTAAAATATCTGTATTTCATTTAAAAATTCCCCAAATCTCAACATTAATATCTGTTATAAACTCAATGTATAGACAAAAACCATAACAAATAAAGCAATCTTAATTTATAATAGCAAAAGCTAAACTTTAAAACTGTATTCCGCAGAAAAGCTAATATGATAAATAAAAAAACTTGAAACCTTAACTATTGAAAATTTGGGACTTCATCAGTATGTAATCATTTTCTTTCCAAGTATGAAGCATACACGGGAATTATAGCATCTTTTTTAACATCCTTATAGAACCTCAATGTGATTTCTATCAATCAAGATCTTATGTTAGAGATTATTTTAAATCTATAAACATACATATACTTAATGTAATGATAAAATTATTATAATTGCTATTAAAATGACCCAAACATTTTTATTCCAATTTAAACTCTCCATCCTATCTATCCAGGCCCTCTATATACATTTCCAGTAACCACTAAACTATAATATTAATTTGAAATTAAATTTTCATTTTAGTACAACTTTACAAAAGCAGTTTGGAAAGGTATTAAACTCTTAAAATATCATTTTCCAAACTTCAATGACAGATAGATACAAAAGAAGAGATTTTGAATTCTTGATTTTGTGTTATCTACTCATTATTATCCACAATTAGCATGTGCAAGTTGACATTGCCTTTATGAACTGCTATGTCATCACACTATATTGCTAAACTAGCATGCAATTCTATTTAGCAAGTAACTGGTTAAATTATTTTTAACAGCTCATGTTGTCTTTAATCAAGTGAGCAGAGAATTCTAAATGGCCATTACTTTAAGATCATTTGTAAAAAATATTCAATCTGTGAAAAGATAATATGAATATAGAAATAAGAACAGTTCAAAAATAACACTTAGTCACTATGAATTGATCTCTATCTTCTGTCTTCCTCTGTGATTCAAGTCTCTGAAATGAATGAAAATTTCTCGTTCATCTAGAAAATGATCTTGAAAGATTAATGGACAATAGAAAGTTTCAGAGGACTTGAAGTTCCTGACTTTTCTATGCCAACATTAAGATCATCATCATCTCCTTTACATTGTTGTGTCTTCATGAATTTCACAACAAATTATACAATGCAATTGATGAAATCTTAAATTAATGTCTAACTGCTGTTCACATCAATTTAAACGTTTCAGACAAGGGAGTATTAAAGATATTAAAATAGATGGTTGCATCATGAAAAGCATGGAATAAGGATCATTACTGTTCTATTTCCCATATATATAAATACACTATTTAGCTTAATATAAATTATATACAAGAAAAAACCACCAATTTTGTACAACTTCAGTTCATGTTTAGACTGTTCTCACAGTTCATAAACACCTCCATTCTTAATAATTATATAGTTATGTCACAACACTGAGTATCCTCTGTGTGAGGTCTTTCTTGACTTTCTTGGACACCTATTTAATATTTATATTATTTTATATCCTTCAGGAATATTTCTTGAACATCAATGTGCATACAAATAACTTCAAGGTCTTCTGAAATACAGATTCTATTTTTATAGGACTGGGATAGGTCCTGAAAGTCCTCATGTCTAATGCCTTCTCTGATGATGTTGATGTTGCTGGTTCATGGATCACAGTTTAAACACAAAGGTCCTTCAGCATTTATAGCCTGAATGACAAAATTTTTCCTTTTTTCTTTTCACCCATTGTTTCATATCCATTAAAAAAACTCTAAATTGAGATAACAAATTATTTGTATTGAAATTGTAGAAATTGTTTTAAAAATATTCCTGCATCAACTATTTTAGTCCTGAGCATATAATATTTGCTTAATAAAATTTGTGGACAATTTGAAAATAAATCAACAAAGCTTATTTATTTCTTCATTTAACTAATAATGTGTCAAATATTGTTTGAGATGCTAGGGAAAGCATTATAAGGAAACAGGGTCTTTGTTAAAGAGGTGGTAGTCTGAGTTTAGACTTAAGGAAGTAGATGGGTTATTACATGGTTTTTGATTGCACTAGTAACTCAAACATCACCCACTGTGCTGAAAACACATTAAAGTAGACATATACTTCTGGATTTCCTCAGGTTATGTTTTAGTTTCTTGCAAACACTTCACCTGTAGAAGAAGCAGAGCATTTCAGCCTTAAGAGAAAAATAAATTGATCTTGGTCAAAATAAAGAGAATATGAATATAGGAGTAAAATATTTAGAAAAGATTATAAAATGTTGAAGAATGTATATGATGCTTTAAAAGATTATAGACATTAAAAATATCATACAGTCAGAAAGATTTTCTAAAACTCACCTCTTTCTAGAGGCTAAAAGTAGAAAGAGCCTATACAACTGGGAACATTATCTTTATAAAGTGAATTTCTATTTTAAAATGAGTTGTAAGCTTTGGCACCATTAAAAACTATTATATTCAAGACAACGTGCAAATAAAATAAACAAAATAACCTTAGAAGGCATTTTATTATTATAATGTAGGCAATTGAGATTTTTATATATCGTTCTAAAGTTTTTTTCTTTTATTAATAAGAACCTCTTTCCATATATTTTATTTTTTTCTGTTTGTGGCACTAAATACATCTATGTATAAAGTTTATTATTTTCTATTTTTTAGACATTACCCCCAAAACTCAATTGGCAATCCTAAACACATTTATCTTTTTCCATTTTTGTAAGTATTAATGAATTCCTTTAACAACATGTTTGCATTAGTTTGATAGGGGTGCCATAAAAAGGTACCATAGACTAGGAGGCTAGAACAATATATATAAACTTATTTTTCACAGTTCTAAATGCTGAACATCAGAGATCAAGTTGTTGCCAGAGTTGACGTTTTCTGAGGCCTCTCATCCTGGCTTTTATATGGCATTTTTCTCCCTGTGTCTTCACATGATCCTCCCTCTGTGCATGTCTGTGTCCTAATCTCCTCTTGTTATCAGAACAAGGTTCATATTAAATTAAAACCCACCAATGATTACTTATTAACTTACCAAAGACCCTATCTTCAAATGCAGTCACATTCTGAGGTAATAGGTGGTAAGACTTCAACACATATATTTGTATACAAAATTTATACAACATATACATTTTTAGGGCAACACAATTCAGCCCATAAAATTCTTGATCAGATGCTTTGTATAGTTTTTATTATTTGCTAAAATTTGCCAATTTGCTTCAACAATATGGCACACATTTTATTCCAACCAGAAGCTTTTTCAATTATTTCCCCGTCTGTTTTTTAAAGTCATTTGTTTTTTCTTTTATGCTAATTGAACATTTGAGTTTGATCTCCTATCAAGTTAAGGAGTTCAGACTTTATGCTGAATGTAATAGAGAGCTATAGAACACTGTTGACCACCTCAGGTTGTTGCATTAGGAAGATTGTTGTGGCATTATGATAGGTTTGGCTGTGTCCCCACCCAAATCCCATCTTGAATTGTAACTCCCACAATTCCCACATGTTATGGGAGGAACCTGGTGGGAGATGAATGAATTATGGGGTGGGTCTTTCTTGCAATGTTCTTGTGACAGTGAATGAGTCTCAGGAGATCTGATGGTTTTAAAAATGGGAGTTTCCCTTCACAAGCTCTCCTTCTCTTGTCTGCCACCATGTGAGATGTGCCTTTCACCTTCTGCCATGACTGTGAGGCATCCCCCGGCACATAGAACTGTGAGTCCAATAAACCTCTTTATTTTGTAAATGGCCCAGTCTTGAGTATGTCTTTATCAGCAGTGTGAAAATGGACTAATACACATTATGTTCAGGATAAATTGTAATGAGGAGAAATAGAAACAAATATAATCTAGTTGCATAGTAATTGCCACCATCCATGTGTTATGTAATGACAGACTAAAAGAGGTGGTGGCAGTAGGAATGAGAAGAAATGGACTCATGTGAAAGACAGCAGAAAGGAAGAAAAATAGTGATAGTATAAATTACATGAAAATGGTTAATTTGTTTTCTAAAACAACTTTTGGAATACATGATTGACATGTGTCTCAAGAGAGCTAAGGGCTTCTGATTGCTTTTTATAAATCATTCAACCTAATATTTTACCATACTCTTACAATATATCTAGATAGGAGTCCTAAGCAGAAGGCATCACTGGTATTCAGTGAAAAATAAATTGGGAGAATGTGTGAAATATAAAATGTATTAGTCCATTCTCACGTTGCTATAAGGAAATACCTGAGACTGGGTGAATTATAAGGAAAGAGGTTTAACTCACAGTTCAGCATTACTGAGGAGGCCTCAGGAAACTTAGAATCATGGCAGAAGGCAAAGGGGAAGCAAGTCCCTTTCTGTACAAGGCAGCAGGAAGGAGAAGTGCTGAAAAGGGGGAAGAGCCTCTTATAATACCATCAGATCTCATGAGAACTCACAATCACAAGAACAGCATGGGGGAAACTTCCCCATGGTTCAATTACCCCCACCTGGTCTCTCCCTTGATATGTGGGGATTTTGGGGATTACAATTCAACATGAGATTTTGGTGAGGAGGACACAAAACCTAACCATATTATTCCTCCCCTGGCCTCTCCCAAATCTCATGTCCTCGCATTTCAAAACGAATTATACCTTCCCAATGGTCCCTCAAAGTCTTAAGTCCAGCATTAACCCAGAAGTCGAAGTCCAATTCCAAAGTCTCATCTGATATAAGGCAAGTTTCTTTCACCTATGAACCTGTGAAATCAAAAGCAAGTTAGTTACTTTCTAGATACAATGGGAGTACAGGTATTAGGTAACTACACCCATTCCAAATGGAAGAAATTGACCAAAAAGACGGGGCTACGGGCTGCATGCAAGTCCAAAATCCAGTGTGGCAGTTAAATCTTAAAGCTCCAAAATGATCTCCTTTGACTCCATATCTCACATCCAGGTCATATTGATGCAAAAGGTGGGCTCCCATGGCCTTGGACGTTTCTGCCCTGTGGATTTGCAGGATACAGCCACACTCCCAACTTCTTGGAGTTGGGACTCCAAGACTTCATGGTCTGGCATTGAGTGTCTGTGGCTTTTCTGGATGCATGGTGCAAGCTGTTGGTGGATCTACCATTCTGGGGTCTGGAGGACAGTGGCTTTCTTCTCACAGCTCCACCAGGCAGTGCCGCAGGGGGGATTCTGTGTGGGGGGTCCAATCCCACATTTCTTTTCTGCACTGCCTTAGCAGAAATTCTCCATGAGGGCTCTGCCTCTGAAGCAAACTTCCGCCTTGACATCTAGGTGTTTCCACACATCCTTTGAAATCTAGGGGGAGGTTCTCATACCTCAGTTCTTGACTTCTGTGTACCCACAGGCCCAAGACAACATGGAAGCTGCCAAAACTTGGGACTTACACTCTCTGAAGCAATGATCTGAGCTATAAGTTGGCCCCTTTTAGCCAGGGCTGGAGTGGCTGGGATGCAGGGCACCAAGTTCCCAGGCTGCACACAGCAGTGAGGCCTTGGTCCCATCGCAGTACACAATTCCTTTTAGGCTTCCAGGCCTATGATAGGAGGGATTGCCACAAAGGTCTCTGACATGCCCTGAAGACATTTTCCCCATTGTCTTGGCTATTAACATTAGGCTTCTCGTTACTTATGCAAATTTCTGCAGCCAGCTTGAATATCTCCCTAGAAAATGGATTTTTCTTTTCTATCGCATTATCAAACGGCAAAGTTTTCAAACTTTTATGCTCTGCTTTCCTTTTAAACATAAGTTCCAATTTCATATCATCTCTCTCCAGTTCAAGGTTCTACAGGTTTCTAGGAGCAAAATGCTGCCAGTCTCTTTGCTAAAGCCTAGCAAGAGTTGACCTTTGCTCCAGTTCCCAATAAGTTTCTCATTTCCATCTGATATGGTTTGAATGTATCCCCACTCAAAATCTCATCTTGAATTATAATTTGAATTGTAATCCCCAAGCGTTGTGGGCAGGCATTTGTGGGAGGTGATTAGATCATGGGGGCAATTCCCCTCTGCTGTTCTTGTGATAGTGAGTTAGTTCTCATGAGATCTGAATGGTTTTATAAAGGGCAGTTCCCCTCCACATGATCCCTTGCCTGCAGCCATGTAAGATGTGCCTTTGCTCCTCCTTTGCCTTCTTCCATAACTGTGAGGCCTCCCCAGCCATGTGGAACTGTGAGTCCAGTAAACATCCTTTTTTAATTAAATTTCCCAGTCTCTGATATTTCTTCACAGCAGTATGAAAATAGACTAATACAGTAAATCAGTACAAGTAGAGTGTGGTGATGCTATTAAGATACCAGAAAATGTGGAAGCGACTTTGGAAGTGGGTAACAGCAGAGGTTGGAACAGTTTGGAGGGCTCAGAAGAAGACAGGAAGATATGGGAAAGTTTGGAGCTTCCTAAAAACTTGTTGAATGGTTTTGACCAAAAAATCCAGGCTGAGGTGGTCTCAGATAGAGATGAGGAACTTACTGGGAACTTGAACAAAAGTCATTCTTGCTATGCATTAGCAAAAAGATTGGAGGCACTTTGCCCCTGCCCTAGAGATCTGTGGAACTTTGAAATTAAGAGAGATGGTCTGCAATTGGAACTTATGTTTAAAAGGAAAGCAGAGCATACAAGTTCGGAAAATTTGTAGCCTGACCATGTGATAAAAAAAGAAAAACCCATTTTCTGAGGAGAAATTCAAGCCGGCTGCAGAAATTTGCATAAGTAAAAAGAGGCCAAATGTTAATAGCCAAGACAATGGGGAAAATGTCTCCAGGGCATGTTAGAGGTCTTCACAGCAGCCCTTCCCATCACAGGCCTGGAGGCCTGGGAGGAAAAAATGGTTTTGTATCCTGGGCCCAGGACTTTGCTGCTTTGTGCAGTCTTGGAACTTAGTTCCCTGCATCCCAGCCATGACTAAAAGGAGCCAAGGTACAGCTTGGGCTATGGCTTGAGAGGGTGCAAGCCCCAAGCTTTGGCAGTATCCACGTGGCGTTCATCCTGTAGGTGAGCAGAAGACAAGAAATGAGGTAATGGTACCTCCATCTAGATTTCAGAGGATATATGGAAACACTTACTACCCAGGAAGAAGTTTGCTGCTAGAGCAGAGCCCTCATGGAGAACCTCTGCTAGAGCAGTGCCAAAGGGAATTGTAGTGTTGGAGCCCCTAAACAGAGTCCCCACTGGGGCACTGCCTAGTGGAGCTGTGAGAAGAGGGTCACTGTCCTCCACCACCCACAATTGTAGATCCACTGACAGCTTGCACTGTGCACCTGGAAAAGCCACAGACACTCAACTACAGCCATGAAAGCAGCCAGGAGTAGGACTGTACCTTGCAAAACCCCAGGAGCAGAGCTGCCCAAGGCTGTGGGAGCCCACTTCTTGCATTGGCATGACCTGGATGTAAGACATGAAGTCAAAAGAGATCATTTTGGAACTTTAAGGTATAATGACTGCCCTATTGGATTTCAGACTTTCATGGGGCCTGTAGACACTCATTTCAGCCCATTTCTCTCATTTGAAACAGGTTTACTTACCCAATGTCTGTACCCTCATTGTATCTAGGAAGTAAATAACTTGCATTTGATTTTACAGCTTTATAGGCAGAAGGAACTTGTCTCAGATGGGACTGTGAACTTGGACTTTTGGGTTAATGCTGGAATGAGTTAAGACTTTGGAGTACTGTTGAAAGGGCATGATTGTGTTTTCACATGTGAGGACATGACATTTAGGAGGGGTCAGGAGTGGAATGATATGGTTTGGCTGTGTCCCAACCCAAAATCTCACCTTGAATTGCAATTTGAATTGTAATTCTCAGATTTTGGAGGTGGGACCTCATGGGAGGTGACTAAATCATGGGGGCGGTTCCCCCATGCTGTTCTTGTGATATTGAGTGAGTTCTCATGAGATCTCATGGTTTTATGAAGGAGAGCTCCCCTGAACATGCTTTATTTTCTGCAGCCATGTAATAAAATACCTTTGCTCCTTTTATGCCTTCTGCCATGGTTCTGAGGCATCTCCAGCAGCGTAAAACTGTGAGCCCATTAAACTTCTTTTTCTGTATAAATACCCAGTCTTGGGTATTTCTTCATTGCAGTATAAAAATAGACTCATACAGCATCTGAAGCCACCTGAGCCTAGACTTCATTATCCATATTACTATCAGAATTTTGGTCAAAGCCATTCAACAAGTCTCTAGGAAGTTCAAAACTTTCTCACATTTTCCTGTTTTCTTCTGAGCCCTCCAAACTTTTCCAATCTCTTTCTATTATCCAGTTCCAAAGTTGATTCCACATTTTTGGGTATCTTTATAGCAGCACCTCACTCAATGTGTTACCAATTTACTGTATAGGTCCATTCTCACATTGCTGTAAAGAAATACCTGAGTCTGGGTAATTTATGAAGAAAAGAAGTTTAATTGACTCACAGTTCAGCATGGCTGGGGAGACTTCAGGAAACCTACAATCATGGCAGAAGGTGAAGAGGAAGAGGCACCTTCTTCACAAGGTGGCAGGAAGGAGAAGTGCTGAGCAAAGGGGAAAGAACCCCTTATAATACCATCAGCTCTCATGAGAACTCACTCACTATCATGAGAATAGCGTGGGGGAAACTTCCGCCGTGGATTCAATTACCTCCACCTAGTCTCTCCTTTGACATGTGGAGATTATGGGGATTACAATTCAAGATGAGATTTGAGTGGGAAATAGGAAATGATTAGGAAGATGTTTTATAGTGTTTCACCTCAGAGTGACATTATATTTTCCAAAATGCAGGAACTTAGTAAGAATAGTCCAGAAATTATAAACCAAAGAGTGGAGAAATCAGAAGACTTAGCTCTTAATGATAGCATACTACAGAAAGAAATACACTGAATCTGAATCCAAGTTCTGCAATTTATTAGCTGTGTGAATTTAGGCAAATGATTTCATCTTGTTGAGTTTTGGTTTTCTCAGTTACAAAAGAAGAATTGTAATAGGTACTTAAAGGTGTTGTTGAATTTTATTAAATATTGTTTCTGAAATATTTAGAATGCACTGCATAAATGATAGCTTTTATCATTAATATCGTTGTTATTGGCACTGCTTTTTTCCTCACATTGCTGATTTACACAGCCTATTTTTATAACCTTCATGTAAGTTCCTTCATAGCAACCTTCTCAACTGAAGTCAGCGCACACTCTAGCCCCAATCTCAGAGCTTTGTCCATGCTAATTTTCACAATGATTATTGTGGAAGCATGTTTAGGCTATAGGTAGACACATGGTATGTTTAGAATGCAGGAGAAGGTAGAAGAAAGCCTTTCAATGAAGAATTCAATAGTTGAATTATTTCAGATTTGAAACTTGGAAAATTATTTTTTATAAAGAAGTAACTCCATTTTGAAATGAAATGGAAGCTATGGTAGTGTTAACTGTGATGACTGCTTATACACTTGCTGGAATCCTTGCTACTACTGAAATATTTTTTCTCAAGGTTCATCACTTTGCTGAATCTCCTAGAAGTTATATCACCCACCAAATGATTGACAGTAATTATAGTCCTACCAGGTGTGACTGAAGATAGCAAATATTTTGATACCTGGATATTAATATTAATATAAGTTTCCAGGGGTGTTCATACCTCAAAGAATATAATTCTGAAAGCGTGTATATTTAATTTCTGTGGATTCAGAGAATGGAATGGTAACTTTTTTCAATTCTATGATTTTGGAACATTTCCATAAATGTCGTGTGTATGTGCGTGTGTGCACACGCACACATGCACTCACATCATGGATAAATACATAGAAACTAAGGGCTATTTATTTCGAGAACTGGTAATGATTACTTGAATAGTGCAAGAATAGGAATTTTATTACTTGTAATGTGCCACACTAATTGCCTATTAATGTTACCAAAAACCAAACTTAAAATGCTCAATTAAAACCACAAAAGGCAGAACAAAGAGTAGAAGACAAAAATAGAAACATAAAATGTGGACAATGAATAGAAAATAGTAAAATGTATAATATTAATCCCACTATATCAATAGTCATTTTGAATATCAATGGTTTTAATGTACCAAATAGTAAGCAGAGATTGTTAGAGTAGATTTTCTAAAAGGATCCAACTCTATGTTGTCTACAAGAAAACCACTTTAAATATAAAGATTAAAAGTAAGGAGTCAGAGAAAGATACACATTTCTAGAGCTAATCAAAATAAAGAGGGAGTAGCTGTATTAATTTCAGATAGAGCCAACTTTGGAGGACAGAAAGTTATCAGGGATGAAAAGGGTCATTATGTAATGATAAAAGGATCGTTTCTTCAAGAAGACATAGCAATCCTTAATGTGTATGCAAGTAACAACGGAGTGTCAAATATGTGAAGCAAAAACTGATAGAACTTCAAAAATTAAAAAGTATCCAGTATTATAATTGGAGATGTTCATACCCTTCTATCAGAAATGAACTAATCTAGCAGTCAGGAAGTCAGCAACGACAGAGTTGAACTCAACATCATTAATTAGCTGAATATAATTGGTATCTATCAACTTTTTTACCCCCCAAACAACAGAATACACATTTCTGTCTAGTTCAAATGAGCATAAAAATGGGCCACATTCTGGGCCATTAAGCACATCTGAAAAAATTTAAAAGAATATATTTTTTACAATGTATGCTCTCAGACCACAATGGAATTAAACTAGAAACCAATAACAGAAAAATTGCTGTAAAAATACCAAAATGCTGGATGATTAAACAAGACACTTCTAAATAACACATAGATCAAAGTAGAAATATTTTAAAAATAAACACATTTGGGACTACATGGAAGTGAAAACACAACTTATTAAAAATTGTGTGATGCAGCAGAGTAGTGATTAGAGAAAAGCTTATAATATTGAATTTATATATTTAAAACATCTAAAATTAATAATCTAAGCTTCTTTAGGAAACTAGAAAAAAGAAAGGTAAATCCTAAGTAAGCATATGGGAAAAGAATTAAAACATAGAGCAGAAATCAATAAAACTGAAAACAGAAAATCTGTACAAAAATTAACAAATCCAAGAGCTGGTTCTTTGCAAAGACCAATAAAATAATTAAGCCTTTATCCAGGCCAATAAAGAAATAAAGAGAGAATATAAATAAATAATATCAGAAATGAAACAGGGGGATATAATTACCAATCCTATGCACATTAAAAGATAATACAGAAATATTGTAAACAACCTTATGCCCACGAATTTGATAACCTGGATAAAATTAAACAATTCCTTGAAAGGCACAATCTGACAAAGCTCACCGAAGAAGAAACGGACAAACTGAATAGTATTATGCGTATTAAATAAATTGAATCAATAATAGCCTTCCAAAACAGGAAGCATCAAGGCCATATGAGTTTACTGGTGAATTCTACCCAACATTTAAGAAAGAAATTATACCAATTCTCTATAATCCCTTTCAGAAGATAGGAGCAGAAGGAATACTTCTTAACTCATTCTATTAGGCCATACTTACCCTGATAATAAAACCTAATGAAATGACTAGGAAGTGACTAGAAAAAATAACTAAAGACCAGCATCTCTCATGAACACAGATGTATAAATCCTCAACACAAGATTGGCAAATCAAATACAGCAACAGTTAAAAAACTGTACACTATGACCAAATGGTATTTATTCCAGGTAAGCAAGGATGGTCCAACATTTGAAAAACAATTAATGTAATTCATCACATCAAAAGGCTAGATAATATCACATAACCTTATCAATAGGTGCAGAAAAGGCATTAGACAATATTAAATACTCATTCAAAATAAAAACTCTTAGCAAACTAGGAATAGAAAGAAACATCCTTAATGATAAATAACCTCTGTAAAAATCTACAACTAATATCAATCTTTTCATTAATTTTTTTTATTTTTAGAGATGGGTCTTGTTCTGTCATGCAGGCTGCAGTTCAGTGGCATGATGATAGTTCACTGTAACCTTGAACTCCTGAGCTCAAGCAATCCTCCCAACTCAGACTCTTGAGTAGCTAGGACTACAGGCATGCACCACTATGCTCAGCTACCTCTTTTATTTTTATTTTGTTGTTGTACAGGCAGAGTCTCCCTGTGATGCCCAGGCTGGTCTCAAACTCCTGACTTCGAGCAATCCTCCCACCTTGGTCTCTCAAATTCTGAGATTACAGACATGAGCCACCACACCTAGTGGACATCAGTCTTGAGAAACTAGAAGTTTTCCTGCTAAGATCAGGAAAAGGGCAAGGATGTTCCCGCTTACCACTCCTTGTCAACATTTTAGTGAAAGTTCTAGATAATGCAGTAAGATAATAAAATGAAATAAAATGTATACAAAATGAAGAGGAAGAAATAAAACTGTTGTTATTTGCAGATGACATGGTTGTCTATGCAGAAAACCATAAAGACTCAACAACAACACTAAAAATCTCCTGGGACTATTAAGTTATTATAGCAAGGTTGAAGGACAGAAGGTTAATATACATAAATCCATTACTTCCCTATATATCAGTAATGAACAATTGTAATTTGAAATTTAAAAAGAATACCATTTACATAACAACAAAGAATGAATAATTAAATACACCTCTAACAAAATATGTACAAGATCTATATGAGGAAAAACACAAAACACTGATGAATCAAATAAGAACTAAATAAACAGAGAGCTATTTAATGCTCATTGATAGAAAGACTGGTTATTGTCAATACATCAGTTCTTCCCAAAATGATCCATAGACTTTATAAAATCCTGATTAAAATCTCAGCAAGCTATTCTGTAAATATCACCAAAATTATTCTAAAGTTCATATGGAGAAGCTGAAGACCCAGAATAGCAAACAAAATATTAAAGGAGAACAAAGTTAGAAGGCTGATGCTATCCAACTTCAAGACTTACTATATTCTATGGTAATAAAGGGAATGTGGTGTTGTTGAAAAAACAGACAGATCAGTAGAACAGAATACAGAGCCCAGAAATAGACTCACATAAATATAATCAAGCTAGCTTTGATAAAAGAGTAAAGTCAATACATTGGAGCAATGATAATCTTTTTAACAAATGGTACTGGCACAACTGGACAACCACATACAAAATCATGGATGTAGACATAGCTCATATATCCTTTACAAAAATTAACTCAAAGTGGATCATATCCCTATACATAAAACCAAACATATGAAATTTATAGAAGATAACATAGGAGAAAACCTAGATAACCTTGGTTATAGTGATGACATTTAGGATGAAACATCAAAGACACAATTCATGAAATAAATAATTGATATATTTAGTTTTATTAAAATTAAAAACTTATGCCCTACAAAATACTGGCAAAAGAATAAGAAGACAAACCACAGAATGGGAAAATATACTTTTGAAAGACATTTCTGATGAAGAACTTTTACCCAAAATGTACAAAAAATTCTTAAAATTTAATAATAATAAAATGGAAGACCTAATTAAAAATTGAAGAACTTTTACCCAAAATGTACAAAAAATTCTTAAAATTTAATAATAATAAAATGGAAGACCTAATTAAAAATTGAAGCAGATCAGACTTCACCACTATACGATTTGTCCATGTAACCAATAACCACCTGTACCCCTAAAGCCATTGAAATTTTAAAAATGGGCCAAAGGCCTAAAGAAATACCTCACCAAAGATGATATGCTGATGGCAAATGAACACACGAAAATATACTAAATATCACATCATTAGAGAAATGCAAATTAAACCAACAATGAGATACGACTGCACATCTACTAGAATGGCTTAAATCCAAACACTAACACCACCAAATCCAAAGACTAACACCACCAAATGCTTGTAAGTGTATGGAGAAACAGCAACTCTCCTTCATCGCTTGTAGAAATGCAAACTAGTAAAGCCACTTTAGAAGATAATGTGGCAGTTTCTTCCCAAACTAAACAGATTCTTACTATATGATTCAACAGTCATACCTCTTAATATTTTCTCAAATGATACGAAAACTTATGTCAGTGCAAAGGCCTGCATGCAGATATTTATAGCAACTTTATTCGTAATTGTCAAAACTTGACAGCAAACAAGTTGGCCTTTTGGTAGGTAAATGAATAAACTGTAATGCATCCAGACAATGAAATATTATTTAGCAATAAAAAGAAGTATACCATCAAGCCATGAAAGACATGGAAGGACCTTAAATTCATGTTTTTAAGTGAAAGAAGCCAAATGTGAAAAGGCTGTTTATTTGTAGTTCCCATGACATGACATTCTGGAAAAAGTGAAACTATAGAGAGCAAAATGATCAGTGGTTGCCTAGGGTTTGAAAGGAGGGAGGAATCAGCACTGAGTATGTTTAGGGCAGTGCAGTACTCTGGTATAATACTCTAATGGTGGGCACATGTCATTATATATTTGTCTCTTTTAAAATTTATTTATTTTTTAATTATACTTTAAGTTCTAGGATACATGTGCACAACGTGCAGGTTTGTTACATAGGTATACCTGTGCCATGTAGGTTTGCTGCATTTGTCTTTTAATAAAATTGACAGCTGATTCTTAGGAAAAATTTTCAAAAATTACAAACCTTTAGTTAGATTTACCAAGTCAAAAAAGAGAAGACTCAAATTAATAAAGTCGGAACATAAATAAGGGACATTAGTCTGATATTACAGAAATTTTTGAAAGATCATAAATAAATACTATGAATAATCATGTGCCAATAAATTAGATAACTAAGATGAAATAAACAGATTCATAGAAAATTTTAATTAATTGAATTGATTTAAAATTTCTCTTTGAAGTAGGGTAAATGAGAAATTATAGACGTATGAATATGGCCATAACTTGTAGTTTTTATTTATTTAGAATTTTAGACTTGATAATAATGAACACTTATATGTCATGCACAATTCTACACTCTTTACATGTATTAACACACATTAATACTCAAAAGACTCGATGAAATAGACACTATTATTATGCCAATTGTATATTGAGAAGTTCATCTACTTGCATAACATCACCCAGCTAGTGAATAGCACAACCAGCTAGCCAATTGAATACAGAGCTCTTAAAGGTAGTCATAATGGCATACCACTTAGAGACATGTATATAGTATATTTACCCTTTCAAGAAGTCAAGAGAACATCTAGATCAACATTGTTTCCCATTTGCAGCTCATAAATTACTATTGAAGGTAAGTTTCCATCATGGAAATGAAAGAGTCTATTTCTAGTACATTGAAAAATGTAGCACAAATCAATGTTAGGTTGCTTTCATGAATGAGCAAAATTCAAGAACTAGAAGAAAATAACTATATACTTTAAGCACTCTGTGTCAAACATATAAGTGTAAATTAACAAATACTGCTACTTTTAAATGTATTGCCCATGATCTGAGTTAGCTTAAATTTAAGTCATACTTAAATGATAGCAATTCACATTTTTATTAAAAATAAATTATTTGGAAATGGATTTAAGATATAGAGTTATTTCATAGAACTTTGTACTACTGGTAAACTCACAGAAGGTAAGGAAAATTAACAAACAAAAATTTAAAGTGATTTTAATTTTAAGATTAAATTTTAAAAGTTTTAATTACATCTTATTTTTCTATTTTTAATTATTTTAATTGACAAATAAAAATTGTTTATATTATGTACAACAAGATGTTTGAAATATGCATATATAATGGTTATATTGAGCTAATTAACATATGTATTACCTAATTACCTAACATATTTATTTTTGATAATGAAAACAAAAATCTACTCTCTTCTCAATTTTCAAGAATACAATACATTGTTGTTAACTGTAGTTATCATGGTGTCCCATAGATTTTTTTGAAATTATTCCTCTTATTTAAGTGAAATCATGTATACCTTAACCAAAATCTCTCCCCACTACCCCCAACAGCCTCTCGTGGTCACCATTTTATTCTCTGCAGGTATGAGTACAACATTTTTAGATTCTTCATGTAAGCGAGATCATGTGATATTACTTTTTTTCTGTGGCTGGCTTATTTTACTTAGCATAAAGTACCCAGGTTCATCCACATTGTCCCAAATGACATGATTTCCTTCTTTCTTTACTTTGTTATTTTATTTTATTTTATTTTTATTTAAGTTCTGGGATACATGTGCAGAACGTGCAGGTTTGTTATGTAGGTATACATGTGCAATGGTGGTTTGCTGCACCTATCAACCATTATCTAGGTTTTAAGCCCTGCATGCATTAGGTATTTGTTCTAACGCTCTCCTTCCCCTTGCTCCCCACCTCCCAACAGGCCCTGGTGTGTGATGTTTCCCTCCCTGTGTCCATGTGTTCTCATTGTTCAACTCCCACTTATGAGTGAGAACATGCGGTGTTTGGTTTTCTGTTCCTGTATTGGTTTGCTGAGAATGATGGCTTCCAACTTCATCCATGTCCCCTCAAAGGACATGAACTCATGCGTTTCTATGTCTGCATAGTACTCCATGGTGTATATGTGCCACATTTTCTTTATCCAGTCTATCATTGATGGGCATTTGAGTTGGTTCCAAGTCTTTGCTATTGTAAATAGTACCGCAATGAACATACATGTGCATGTGTCTTTATAGTAGAATGATTTATAATTCTTTGGGTATATAACCAGCAATGGGGTTGCTGGGTCAAATGGTATTTCTGGTTCTAGATCCTTGAGGAATTGCTACACTGTCTTCCACAGTAGTTGAACTAATTTACACTCCCATCAACAGTGTAAAAGCATTCCTATTTCTCCACAGCCTCGCCAGCATCTGTTGTTTTTTCACTTTATAATAATCACCATTATGATTGGTGTGAGATGGTATCTCACTGTGGTTTTGATTTACATTTCCCTAATGACCAGTGGTGATGAGCTTTTTTTCATATGCTTGTTGGCTGCACAAATGTCTTCTTTTGAGAAGTGTCTGTTCATATTCTTTGCCCACTTTTTGATGGTGTTGTTTGTTTTTTTCTTGTAAATTTGTTTAAGTTCTTGGTAGATTCAGGATATTACACCTTTGTCAGATGGGTAGATTGCAAAAACTTTCTCCCATTCTGTAGATTGCCTGTTCACTCTGATGCTAGTTTCTTTTGCTGTGCAGAAGCTCTTTAGGTTAATTAGACCCCATTTGTCAGTTTTGGCTTCTGTTGAAATTACTTTTGGTGTTTTAGTCTTGAAGTCTTTTCTCATGCCTATGTCCTGAATGGTATTGCTTAGGTTTTTTTTTCTAGTGTTTTTATGGTTTTAGGTTTTACATTTAAGTCTTTAATCCATCTTGAGTTAATGTTTGTATAAGGTGTAAAGAAGGGGTCCAGTTTCTGTTTTCTGCATATGGCTATCCAGTTTTCCCACCACCATTTATTAAATAGGGAATGCTTTCCCTATTGCTTGTTTTTGTCAGGTTTGTTGAAAATCAGATTGTTGTAGCTGTGTAGTGTTATTTCTGAGGTCTCTGTTCTGTTCCATCAGTCCATGTATCTGTTTTGGTACCAGTACCATGCTATTTTGGTTACTATAGCTTTGTATTATAGTTTGAAGTCAGGCAGCGTGTTGCCTCCAGCTTTTTTCTTTTTGCTTAGTATTGTCTTGGCTATATGGGCTCTTTTTTGGTTCCATATGAAATTTAAAGTAGTATTTTCTAATTATGAAAAGAACGTCAGTAGTAGGTTGACGGGAATAGTATTGAATCTATAAATTACTTTGGACATTATGGCCATTTTCACAACATTGAGTCTTCCTAACCATGATCATGGATTTTCCATTTGTTTGGGTGAACTACAAACCACTGCTAAGGAAATAAGAGAGGATTTCCTTCTTTCTTTAAGGCTGAATAGAATTCTTCTGTGTATATATACCACATTCTTCAGTCCATTTTTCTATTGTTGAAAACTTAGGTTGATTCTCTGTCTTGGCTATTGTGAATAATTATGCAATGAACATGGGAAGGCAGATATCTCTTTGACATACTGATTTCATTTTCTTTGGACGTATACTCAGTAATGGGATTCCTGGACCATATGGTAGTTCTAATTTTTTTAAGAACCTCCATATTGTTTACCTTAATGGCTGTATTAATTTACATTCCAACCAGCCGTTTGCATGGGTTCACTTTTCTCCACTTTCTTCCTAACAGTTTTTATCTTTCCTCTTTTTGATAATAGCCATTCTAACATACTTGAGAGGATATCTCATTGTGGTTTTAATTGGCAATTCCAGGATGATAAGGAAGTTGAACTTTTTTTCAAATACCTGCTGGCAATTTGTATGTCTTATTTTAAGAAATGTCTATTCAGATCCTTTGCCCATTTTTTAATTTTATGTGTATCTTTAAGTTTATGTGTATCTTCCTATCCAGTTGTTTCAATTCCTTATGTATTTTAAATATTGACCTCTTACCAAATGTATGGATTAGAAATATTTTCTCCCATTCAATAGGGTTATCTTTACTCTGTTGATTGTTTCCTTGGCTTAGAAAACGTTTTTCAGTTTGATGCAAAATGATGTGCTTATTTTGGTTTTTGTTGGCTGTGCATTTGGAGTCAGAGCCAACAAATCATTGTCTTGAAGCTTTTCAACTATGTTTTCTTCTAGCAGTTTTATAGTTTCAGGTCTTAGGTTTAAGTCTTTAATTCATTTTGAGTTGGTTTTGTGTGTGGTGTGATGTAAGGGATGCATGTGGATATTCATTTTCCTGACAACATTTATTGACGAGATTGTCTTTTCCCCATCATGGGTTCTTGGCACCTTTGTCAAAAATCAGTTGACCTTAAAAATGTGGATTTATTTCTGGGCTCTCTATTCTTTTCCATTGAATGATCTGTTTGTTTTTATACCAGTACCATGCTGTTTTGATTACCAAAACTTTGCAGTATATTTTGAAGTCTTTTGATCTATTTGCTAAGATTTTTTGGCTATTCAGGATATTTTGTGGTTCCTGACAGTTTTAAGAATTTTTTCATCTGTCCGTGAAAAATTGTATTACAAATGTGATAGGTGTTGCATTACATCTTTGGTTCACTCTGGGGAATTTGAACATTTTAACAATATTAATTCTAATTTATGAACATGAGATATATTTCCATTTTTGTGTCTTATTCAATTTCTATCATCAATGTTATGTAGTTTTCAGTGTTATAGGTCTTTTACCTCCTTGGTTAAGTTTATTCCAAAGTATTTAATTTATTTATTTAGTAGATATTGTAAATGGAATTGTTTTCTTGATTTCTCACCAAGATAGTTCACTGTTAATATATAGAAATGCTGCTGATTTTTTTGTATGTTGATTTTGTATCCTGCAAGTTAATTGAATGTATTTACTAATTCTAATAGTTTTTGGCTGAAGTCTTTAGAATTTTCTCTACATAAGCTTCTGTCTGCAAATAGGGACAATTTAACTTCTTCCTTTCTGAAATGTGTGCCTTTTCTTTCTTTCTTTCTCTTGCCTAATATCTTTGGCAAGAATGTCCAGTACTGGCTGGGCACGGTGGCTCACACCTGTAATCCCAGCACTTTGGAAGGCCGAGGTGGGCAGATCACAAGGTCAGGAGTTTGAGACCAACCTGGCCAACATGGTAAAACCCCATCTCTACTAAACATACAAAAAAAAAAAAAATTAGTCAGGTGTGGTGGTGTGTGCCTGTAATCCCAGCTATTCGGGAGGCTAAGGCAGGAGAATCACTTGAACCTGGGAGGCAGAGGTTGCAGCGACCCGAGATCATGCCATTGCACTCCAGCCTGGGCCGCAGGGCAAGACTCCGTCTCAAAAAAAAAAAAAAAAAGTCCAGTACTATTCTGAATATAAGTGGCAAGAGTAAGTATCCTTGTCTTTTGCCTGATCTTAGAGATAAAAAAAATTTAACTTTTCACTGTTGACTGTGATCTTTAGTGTGGTTTGTCATATGTGGCTGTTATTTGACATTCATTGTTTTCGGGTACCCAATATGGCCTTTATTTTTGTGAGATACATTCTCCCTATGCATAATTTGTTGAGAGTCTTTATCATATTTGGCATATGAAAGAATGTTGAATTTTGTCGAATCTTTTTTTCATTTATTGAGATAATCAGATGATTTTTGTTCTTCATTTTGTTAATTTAGTGTAGAGCATTTGTGTATGTTGAACCATCCTAGCATCCCAAGGATAGATTCTACTTGATCATGGTGTATATTCCATTTACTGTGCTGTTAAATTTTTTTGGCTAGTATTTTGTTGGAGATTTTTGCATCTATATTCATCAGGAATAGTGTCTATTATTTTGTTTTTTTTGGTTTGTTTTCCTTGTCATTGGTATCAGGGTAATACTGATTTTGTAAAATGACTTTGAAAGTATTTCCCCCTTAATTGTTATGAGTTCAGAAAGAATGTTTACATGTTTGGTAGAATTTAGTAATGAAGTCATTGGGTCCTGTACTTTCTTTCTTTCTTTTTTTATTCATGGGAGTTTTTGTTTGTTGTTACTGATTAAGTACCCTTACTGTCCTTATTGGTCCATTCATATTTTCTGTTTCTTTGTAACTAAATATTGGTAGGTTTTATGTGTCCAAGAATGTATCGATTTCTTCTTAATTGTCAATTTGTTGGCGTATGATTATTAATAGTACTCTCATAATCCTGTGTATTTATGTGGTATCAGTTGTTATATTTCTTCTTTTATTTCTGATTTTATTTATTTGCATCTTCTCCCATTTTTTTACTTAGTCTAGCTAAAGGTTTGTCAATTTTCAAAAAAACCCTCAATATTGCTGATCTTTTCTATTTTTTTCTAGCCTCTGTATTATTTATTTTTTTCGAATCTTTACTACTTTCTTCCTTTTAATAAATTTGGGCCTAGTTTATACTTTTTCTAGTTTCTTGAGATATAACATTAGGTGTCTTCTTTTTTGATGTGGGCACTTACTGCTATAAACTTTCATCTAAGAATTGCTTTTGCTGCATCCCATAAATTGTGGTATGTTGTGTGTCCTTTTATGTTTATCTCAAAAAAAGAAAAAAAATCCCAGTGTTTTGGACAGTCTGGAGCCTTAGGCTGCCAAGGCTGGCCTGGACCCTGGGTGTACCTGGAAACTGAATCTGCAGGGCTTGCCTGGCATTAGGGATGGGGATAAGGCATAAGTGCTGGGGCTGGACGGTACCCTGGGTTCACTGGCATTGGCACGGCACCGGGACAGGCTTGCATGCTCAGTACACTAGTAGTGGCTTAGAATCTGGGGCCATGAGGAACTTCCTTTTACTAGAATGGGCCCTGTGTTGTGGTTCTTTTTTCTCCTTTTCCCAAGCAGAGGGTATCTTTCTACACATTACACTGCCTGGGTTGAAGAAGGAATGAGGTGGGTGATGTAAAACTATACTTTCTAACTTCTCCAATGAGTCTTTTCTTATTTCCATGCTACACTTGGGTGCTGTAATCTCTCACCCTGTTTCATTTGCTCTTTGCAAAGGTATTTTTGTGCATGAATAGTTGTTTAAGCTAATGGTTTTTAAGAGGATAAGCAGTGAAAAGTCCTCTTCCATGGTCTTGCTGAAGTCTCTTTATTAACAGAGTAAGAATTAGAAGTCTTCCTAAGTTTAATATATGGCACCAGTTGATAGTTATATTTGGTATACATATTAGTACTATAATTTTATTTTGAAGATAAAGGCTAGTTCCTTTTTCACTTATGGGACTATTAATCAAAATATGAATTAAACAGAATTTTTAAATAAATATTTTATGGAGGAGTATCAGCTTCATGAGAAGACTAATCTTAAGTGAGGGAAATGAGATTTTGGAGACACACTTCATAATAACCTGCTGGAAAATTACTTATTATTTGTTCTTTAACATTCTGAAAATGTCTAAGTCTGGTTTGTCAAAACTAATATATGGCTTTGTCTAGAAAATAAATGTTTCAGTGTGAGGCCTCTCATCTGAAATTATGTGAGAAGAGAAAAAAACATAAATAATATCTATGATAAATATGTTATTGTAAAATCAAGTAGCTGTTTTAAAAGACTCCTTAATATAACTGACTCTCTTATTTAAATACAATTCTTTATTTTTATCTTTCATACGTACATGTTATTACATCACTCTGAAATTGTTGCTGTTATTCATTGGGAATTTATACTGACATACACTCAGAATATTTATATAATGGCACAAGTATTATAAGAGATTTAATAGAGTATATACATTTACATGTAAAACTCGGAATAAGGAGTCTTTAAAATTCAATTTCTTTAATAAGAGCTTACTGTGATGGGAAATAGTTTTTGGTGACTTACAACTGGAAATAATTATTTCTAATAACCAAAAGTAGAAATACAGAAGGAGAAGGAGATGTGAGGGGGGAACATTTTGAACATATTGATTTTGTGATGTCTATGAAATATAAATATGGGAGTGTTCAGTAGGCACATAAAATTATGGGTTTTGAATTATGGTCATAGTTTGACCAAGGGCTACATTTGAAATTTTTCATTTTACGGGTACTAAAATGTAGATGGGCCGTCTCTTTCAGGTTTGATAATTTCCAAAGTGGGTCCTGCATGAAACCAAAGATACCAAGAAAAGAAGTCATACTGGATTGAGTGATTACCAATAAAAACTGAATGGATAAGTTAATATATGAAGTAAACAGTAAGAAAATAGGCATAAAAAGGAATGAGTGTTATACTGAAGAAAAGGGATAGATTAGGGTCCAAAGGGCTCAATATCATGGAAGAGTAGCTATACCAAATAAATGTAAGGAAAGGAGAATTAGGATAGGATGTGTCACAGAATGAAATTAGTTATGTTACTTGGAAGAGTGGGAATCGTTGAATCTTCTCTAACTTGGAAGAAAGAATTCAGCCAAGAGATTCATAGCAAAGGTTAAGTAGCAGAGTTAATTAAAGGATGATAAAGTACATTCCTACAGAGGAGTGGAAAAAAGTTCTGGGCTGGACCAGCTGGACAAATAGTAGTAGCAGTATTTATTTAAAGAGACAGTACACTCTGCAAGATGAGACAAAAAATTTGGGATTGTTGCAATTCTCAAACATTAGATGTGTGAATGATGTGGATAGACCAAAAATTAAAAGTAGGAAAAATAGATGTCTAATGTGTTTTGCAACAGTTCAACAATAAAAAGGAGGAAATCAAGCTCCACAAAACAGGAAATGAATTGCCATTTATACTTCATTTATCCCATCTATCAACATTCAGTTTCATTGCCCAATTACAGAGGCTGTAGGTCACTGTTAATTATTGACAACACTATTACACACTTTTATTATTTAGTATAAATGAGAAAAATTATTCATCTTAAGTGCCTTGGTTTAATTTCTGCTTTAGCAAATACAGTTACTTTCACTCAGGTCCGTGTGAAGAGACCACCGAACAGGCTTTGTGTGAGCAACAAGGCTGTTTATTTCACCTGGGTGCAGGCGGGCTGAGTCCAAAAAGAGAGTCAGTGAAGGGAGATAGGGGTTGGGCCGTTTTATAAGATTTGTTTGGATCGGTAAAGGAAAATTACAGTCAAAGGGTGGTTGTTGTCTGGTGGGCAAGAGTGGGGGGGTCACAAGGTGCTCAGTAGGGGAGCTTTTGAGCCAGGATGAGCCAGGAGAAGGAATTTCACAAGATAATGTCATCAGTTAAGGCAGGAACCGGCCATCTGGATGTGTACGTGCAAGTCACAAGGGATATGATGGCTTAGCTTGGGCTCAGAGGCCTGACATTACTGTCTTCTTATATTAATAAGAAAAATAAAATGAAATAGTGGTAAAGTGTTGGAACGGTGGAAATTTTTGGGGGTGGTATGGAGAGATAATGGGTGATGTTTCTCAGGGCTGCTTTGAACGGGATTAGGGGTGGCGTGGGAACCTAGAGTGGAAGAGATTAAGCTGAAGGAAGATTTTGTGGTAAGGGGTGATATTGTGGGGTTGTTAGAAGAAACATTTGTCATGTAGAATTATTGGTGATGGCCTGGATACAGTTTTTGTATGAATTGAAAAACTAAATGGAATAAGAGAAGGAGAAAAACAGGTATTAAAGAACTAAGAATTGGGAGGACCTAGGACATCTTATTAGAGAGTGTCCAAGGGGATTCAGCATAATTACTTACTTGGTTGGCAAGTTTTTGGGCTCTATCCTTGAGTTTTTTTATGTTGTCATATACCAGGCCAGATCGATTTAGGTAAAAACAACACTCTTCATTTAAGAATATACAGAGTCCTCCTTTTTCAGCAGTGAGTAAGTCAAGGCCTTGGTGGTTTTGGAGGACAACTGCAGCTAAAGAGTCAACTTGGGCCTGGAGGACTGATAAAGTTTGTGACCTGTCTGTGATGCTAGCAGAGAAGTCATTAGAGCGGTTATGGAAGGTCATGCCAGAGGTTGAAATTCCTGCTATTCCAGTACTGAGAGCAATAGTGGAGGCAGAAAGTCTTAAACTGACAAGCAAGGGAATTAGTGGAATAACTCTTTTTTGTTGTGTCGGTGTCATGAGGGGAACAGAGAGCTCTTCGGTCCTATTTGCAAATTGAATTTTGGGAGTAAGGAAAACTAGTGTGCATGTGCCTGTCCAATTAGCAGGTAGACACATGTAGGTAGAGGATCTACAGAGGAAGAAGAGACATTGTGCGAGGCAAAACTGGAGATGCAAACTAAAAACATGAGAAGGAGTGCTGAAAGAGGTGTCTTGTACCTAGACTCCTAGGGATGCAGCTAGGGCGGCAGCCATCAGAGGTTGTAATGGGGACTGACGAGGTAACTGTGTAGGAGGGGAGGTTCGATTTTCATGGTGTGTGAGAAAACATTGAGTGTCTATGAGCAACCTTTCACTGTTATTTGCGGGGCTGGGTATAAGTAAATAAGGAGAGGGCTTTGGAGATGAAGAGTAAAGGAACATTGAGAAGGTGAAAGTTTACCTAGGGGAATTCCAGTGGGTCTTTGCCAAGAGATACATAAGTGAGTGGCCACGGGAATAGTAGTTTGTGTTGTGAGAGGTCTAAATATGGGAGGAGTAGAGTTGATATAAGGAGAAAGTTTTTTTAACTAAGTACAGAGGAGGGCGGCAGCTTGCTGATGTGAAATGTCTGAGGAGGTCTTGCTGGACCTGTCTAGAAAGTAAATGAGTTCTTCAGGAGGGTAAATGTGAGGGCTGTTAAAGGAAGTTCGGAGGTGTAGGGAGACAGAAGATGTTGCCTAGTCTGCATGTAAGGAGGGACAGCTGTTTAGGTGCTGGAAGAAAGGGAAATGCAAAGCCAGTGTTTGTTCGCTAAGGAGGGATGAGAAACAGCTAGGAGAGAATGAGTAAGGTTGATAGTGTGGTGGAGATAGCTGGGGAGAGGTAGAGGGAGGCATAAGAATGGGAATGAGAATAAGAGTGAGCATAAAAGTAAAGAATAGAACTTCAGGTCCCCTGCCAGCAAAGATCATCTATCCACTCTAAGAGGGAGTTAAGAGTTAAGAGTTGCCAGTCCTGGGCAGGGGCAAATCCTTGAGCTTGATGTGTAGGGAAGGGAGGGGGCCTGAATAATCCCTGAGGAGTAGTAGAATAGCAGATGGAACACTGAGAAGTTATTCATGTGAGGATAGATTTCCACAATGGAAAGGAAATGAGAGGTTCCAAGAGGCGGGCTGGTGGCTTGTACTATAGCATAGCCTGCCTTTGCTGGTATGTGGCGATTAGGCCTGGTGGAACTACCATCAATAAACCAAGTGTGTTCAGGGTGAGGAACAGGAAAGAAGGAAATATGGGGAAATGGGGTGAATGTTAGATGGATCAGAGAGATACAGTCATAGGGTTCAGGTGTGGTATCCGGAATAGTGTGGGAGGCCGGATTGAAGTCTGGGCCAGGAACAATGGTAATTGTGGGAGACTCAACAAAGAGTGAGTACAGCTGAAGAAGCCAGGGAGCAGAAAGTATATGTGTCAGGTGTGAGGAAAAAAACAGATTTTGGAACTTATGAGAATTGTAGAGAGGGAGTTGAGCATAGTTTGTGATTTTACGGGCCTCTACAAGTATTAGGGTGGCGGCGGCCGCCGCACGCAGACCTGAGGGCCAGGCTAAAACAGTAAGGTCAAGTTGTTTGGACAGAAAGCCTACAGGGTACAGTCCCAGCTCTTGTGTAAGAATTCTGACCGCACTAACCATGCCTAGGAAGGAAAGGAGTTGTTGTTTTGTAGAAGGTTTTGGGGTTTGAAAGATCAGTCAGACACGATTGGCAGGGAGAGCACGTGTGTTTTTATGAGAATTATGCTGAGATAGGTAACAGATGAGGAAGAAATTTGGGCTTGACTGAAGTAATGGGAGCTGTCTGTGAAGTCTTGCGGCAGTACAGCCCAGGTAATTTGCTGAGCCTGATGGGTGTCAGGGTCAGTCCAAGTGAAAACGAAGAGAGGCTGGGATGAAGGGTGCAAAGGAATAGCCAAGAAAGCATGTTTGAGATCCAGAAGAGAATAATGGGTTGTGGAGGGAGGTATTGAGGATAGGAGAGTATATGGGTTTGGCACCACGGGGTGGACAGGCAAAACAATTTGGTTGATAAGGTGCAGATCCTGAACTAACCTGTAAGGCCTGTCTGGTTTTAGGACAGGTAAAATGGGGGAATTGTACGGAGAGTTTATAGGCTTTAAAAGGCCATGCTGTAGCAGGTGAGTGATAACAGGCTTTAATCCTTTTAAATCGCATTATGGGATGGGATATTGGCTTTGACCAGGGTAAGGGTGATTAGGTTTTAATGAGATGGTAAGGGGTGCATGATCGGTCACCAAGGAGGGAGTAGAGGTATCTTATACTTGTGGGCTAAGGTGGGGAGATACAAGGGGAGGATGTGAAGGAGGCTTTGAAGTGGGGGAAAAGGCAGCAATGAGTCATGGCTGTAGCCCAGGAATAGTCAGGGAAGCAGATAATTTAGTTAAACTATCTCAGCCTAATAAAGGGAACTGGGCAGGTGGGGATAATTAAAAGGAGTGCTTAAAAGAGTATTGTCTAAATTGGCACCAGAGTTGGGGAATTTTAAGAGGTTTAAGCCTGGCCGTCAATACCCACAACGTTATGGGGGCGAAGGAAACAGGCCCTTGAAAAGAAGGTAATGTGGAGTGGGTAGCCTTTGTATTGATTAAGAAGGGGATGGATTTACCCTCCACTGTGACAGTAACCTAAAGCATCTGTGATGGTCCAGGAAGCTTCTGAGGCAATTGGGCAGCCTCAGTCTTCAGCCGCTAAGCCAAGAAGATCTGGGAAGGAGTCAGGGAGCCTCGGGCCAGAGTTCCAGGGGTGCTGGGAGTGGCTGCCGGGTGAGTTGGACTGGGGGAAAAGGCGATTTCCAGTGGGGTACCACATAGATGGGACACGACTTGGAGGAATCCTGGGCTGTGGGCATTCCTTGGCCTGGTGGCCAGATTTCCAGCACTTGTAGCAAGCTCCTGGGGGAGGGAGGCCTGGAGGAATGCCTGGCGGCTGCAGTTTAGGTGTTTGGAAGTTCTTGTGTGCTGGAGATGTGGCTGGGGTTTGTCTCACAGTGGAGGCAAGGAATTGCAACTCAGAAATACATTGCTACTTGGCTGCCTCTACTCTATTATTGTACATCTTGCAGGTGAGGTTAATTAAGTCCTGTTGTGGGGTTTGAGGGTCAGAATTTAATTTTTGGAGCTTTATTTAATGTCGGGAGAAGATTAGGTAATAAAATAAAATGCATATTGAGAATAAGACGGCCTTCTGGCCTTTCAGGGTCTAGGGCTGTAAAGCGTCTCAGGGTTGCTGCCAAACGAGCTATGAACTGGGCTGGGTTTTTATATTTGATGAAAAAGAGCCTAAACGTGAACTGATTTTGGGAGAGTTCGGAAAAAGAAAAAGGAGCATTAACCTTGACTATGCCTTTAGCTCCAGCCACCTTTTGTAAGACGAAATTGCTGGGCAGGTGGGGGAGGGCTAGTCGCAGAACAAAACTGTAAGCCTGACCGGCTGTGAGGAGGGGAGGTGATAAAAGGATTATAGGGTTGGGGAGCAGAGGCTGAGGAAGAAATGGGACCTAGCTTGGCCTGGTGAGGAGGGGAGAGGTCAGATGGGTCTGAAGAAAAGGAAGATTAGAAAGACTCAGTGATGCTTGGGGTTGGGACTGAGGGGACAGGTGGGAGGGAAAGAAGGAAGATTTGGGATGAGTTGCTTTGGGAACAGAGACTAGGGAGGGACCGATGTGTAAAAGAATGCCTGGACGTCAGGCACCTCAGACCATTTGCCCATTTTATGACAAGAATTATTTAGATCTTGTAGGATGGAAAAATTGAAAGTGCCATTTTCTGAACCACTGTCGAATTTGTATTGGGGTCAAGTGGCATTGCAGAAGAAAATAAGTCATTTAGGTTTTAGGTCAGGTGTGAGTTGAAGAGGTTTTAGGTTTTTAAGAACACAGGCTGAGGGAAAAGAAGGGGGAATGGAGGGTGGAAGCTTGCCCATAGTGAAAGAGGCAAGCCCAGAGAAAAGAAAGAGTAGAGACACGGAGAGAAGCGGTGGGGGGTTCTTGACCCCCAGAAAAGTGGTACTTGCCACTAAGGATGAAGGAGAAGGGGTTAGGAGGTTCTTGTCCCCCAGAAAAGCAGAGAAGGGGTAGAGACACAGAAGGGGTTGGAGGACGTCTTGCCCCCCAGAAAAGCGGTACTTGCCGCTAAGGGTGAAGGACCAAGGCAGGCGTCCCCGCATGGTCAGACACCTCTGAAACGTGGGTGAATAATCAGGCAGGCATCCCCGTGTGATTAAACACCAAGGGAAGACTGTCTTCCCGAGTCCGTGACTGGTGCCGGAGTTTTGGGTCCATGGATAAAATGCATCTCCTTTGTCTCTAACAGAAAAGGAAAGGAACTTAAATTAGGAGAAGGGAGAGATTGAAGTATAGCACCAAGATTGAAAGGAGAAAGAGGTTGAGGGATAGTGAGAGAGGTTGGAGAAGAGAGTAAAAAGAGGCTGCTTACCAGATTTAAAATTGGTGAGATGTTCCTTGGGCTGGTTGGATGGAGGACGAGAGGTCGTAGGGGGATTTTTTATATATATACACACATATAATATATATATATACACACATATAATATATATGATATGTACATACAATGTTTATATATAATGTTTATATAATATAATGTTTATATATAGTTTATATAATGTATACATATATACATTATATATGTACATATATATACATTATATATTCTAATGTATATTTACATTATATACAAAGTATGTAATATATAATTATATATAATAATTATATAATATATAATGTATAATATATAATATGTAATTATTATATATAGTATATATACTATATTATATATTATATATTATATATAGTATATATTATATTATGTATATTATATTTAGTATATATAGTATATATTATATTATATATTATATACAGTATATATAGTATATATTATATATAGTATATATAGTATATGTTATATCATATTATATATATTATATATAGTATATAAAGTATATATTATATATTATATATATTTATATTATATATATAACATTTATATATGATGTTTATGTATGTATAATGTACATTATATATACATATATGTATATATGTATACATATATATTATATATATCATATCTATAAATATATATTATGTTTATTTTATATATTATTTATACATAATATATATGTATATATAATGTACATTTTATATACATATATTTATATATAATGTATGTATATACATATATGTATATATGTATATGTGTATAATTTGTATATGTATGTAATATGTTTATGTGTGTATGTATATATGTATAATATAATATATATATAATATATGTATAATATAATATATATACATATATATAATATATGTATATATGTATTTGTATATATGTGTATATACGTATATGTTTATATGTGTTTATATGTATATATGTATATATGTTTATACATATATACATATAAAATACTTTAAGTTCTAGAGCACATGTGCACAACGTGAAGGTTTGTTACATATGTGTACATGTGACATGCTGTTGTGCTGCACCCATTAACTAGTCATTTATCTTAGGTATATCTCCTAAGGCTATCCCTCCCCTCTCCCCCTTCCCACAGCAGGCCCCGGTGTGTGGTGTTCCCCTTTCAGTCTCCAAGTGTTCTTATTGTTCTATTCCCACCTATAAGTCAGAACATGTGGTGTTTCGTTTTTTGTCCTTGCGATATTTTGCTGAGAATGATGGTTTCCAGCTTCAGCCATTTACCTACAAAGGACATGAACTCACCCTTTTTTATGGCTGCATAGTGTTGCATGGTGTATATGTGCCACATTTTTTTAATCCAGTCTATCATTTTTGGACATTTGGGTTGGTTCCAAGTCTTTGCTATTGTGAATAGTGCCACAGTAAACATACGTGTGCATGTGTCTTTGTATCAGCATGATTTATAATCCTTTGGGTAGATACCCAGTAATGGGATGGCTGGGTCAAATGGTATTTCTAGTTCTAGATCCCTGAGGAATCGCCACACTGACTTCCACAATGGTTGAACTAGATTACAGTCCCACCAACAGTGTAAAAGTGTTCCTATTTCTCCACATCCTCTCCAGCACCTGTTGTTTCCTGACTTTTTAATGATCACCATTCTAACTGGTGTGAGATGGTACCTCATTGTGGTTTTGATTTGCATTTCTCTGATGGCCAGTGATGATGAGCATTTTTTCATGTGTCTGTTGGCTGCATAAATGTCTTCTTTTGAGAAGTGTCTTTTCATATCCATTGCCTGCTTTTTGATGTGGTTGTTTGTTTTTTTCTGGTAAATTTTTTGAGTTCTTCGTAGATTCTGGATATTAGCCCTTTGTAAGTTGAGTAGATTGCAAAATTCTTCTCCCATTCTGTAGGACAGGGGATTGATCTCCCAAGGGAGATACCCCAGTCCGAGTCAGGGCACCAAAATTTCACTTGCATTGGTGTGAAGAGACCACCAAACAGGCTTTGTGTGAGCAACAAGGCTGTTTATTTCACCTGGGTGCAGACGGGCTGAGTCCAAAAAGAGTCAGCGAAGGGAGACAGGGGTGGGGCCATTTTATAAGATTTGGGTAGGTAAAGGAAAATTACAGTCAAAGGGGGTTTGTTCTCTGGTAGGCAGGAGTGGGGGTCACAAGGTGCTCAGTAGAGGAGCTTTTGAGCCAGGAGAAGGAATTTCACAAGATAATGTCATCAGTTAAGGCAGGAACAGGCCATTTTCATTTCTTTTGTGGTGGAATGTCATCAGTTAAGGCAGCAACCAGCCATCTGGATGTGTATGTGTGGGTCACAAGGGATATGATGGCTTAGCTTGGGCTCAGAGACCTGACAGTTACTGTGCCATAAAAAATACCTTTATAGAAAAATATAGATAGATAGATATAGACATAGCTACATGGAGTCCTCTATTTAAATGAATTTTGAATGGAAGAAAATTCTAGAGCCATTTCAAACCTGGCCAGTCTCTTAAAATTATTGTACTGAAATAAATCTTGAAAAAAAAGTATGCAATAATCAATGGGGAATTACATAATTTCTAGACTATTCCATAAACTAAATTCCTCAACTTGTATTAAAAAGGCTATCAAAATAATTTAAATTCTTACTTGTTAAATAGGAGCCAGAGTCCTATTTATGGGTGTAGGAAGAGAATAATATGCATATTTCCTGACCTTCTATCAAATGTTGAGTGCAAACGAGAAATGTAAGTAGTTTGGAAAGTTTTCTCCTAAGGCAAGAGCTATAGATAAAATAAAAGAAAACTTAAGATGATTTTGTGAAGTCCTTCCAGCTCTGCAACTCACTCCCAAGCAACCCCAAAACCTTGAATGTGTATATTAATGTCATGTCATCAGTAGTATCAACATGACAAGGATGGAGAAGGCTGATAAAAATCTATGATTTATATGCAAAAAGACAGCTATCCAGAGTAATTATGCTATTTTAAGGCAACTTCCCCTTAACAGTTTTAGCTAGATTTGCTGGAAATGAACCTTCTATATGTCATGCAGTGTTCAGTGGTAGTTCAAAATCACAATTTCAATGATTAAAATATTATCCCTATCTTATGATTTTCAAATTGCTGTGTCCAAAAACATGAAGGTAGAGAGAGAGATTTTTTCTATAAAAAAATTGTAAAATCAGATAACTGATTTTACAATTTATCATTTAACATTTTTAAGAATATATATGAGCTCATGACTATATGAAGAACTTGGCTTGTTCTCTTTCCAACATATTTTCTCGTAGTATAATTTCTCAGCTAGGTTAACCTTTGTTGCTGCTTTTTTCCCCTCACATACTCAAAGTTGAAAGTGACCATGTTTTCCAATGAATCACTATTTTCAAGGCAGTCTCTGAGCACTTATGGCAGTGAAGAGGAAGCAATAATTGGACGGTATTCCTTCAGGCTTGATACTTTTAAAGTTACCTTTAACCTTAAGTGAGCTAAGTTGGCAGGTGGGAAAGATTTATTTGAAACATTTTATAAAATAAAACCATTTCTGAGAAATTTAGCTGTTAAAAATATTTGACTGCCAAAGGGAGTCATCTTTCAATCTTGTTTACCGCATACTCTGCTCATGTGTTATGGTATAAGCAAAGTGGAAGGTAGTGATTTAAAATGTCCTTTTTTATTAAACTCTTTTATATTGTAAACTCTTTTACAATATAAAAGAGAAGGTAGTTTACATTGATTGAGCAGTTATTATAGGAGGAGCTGATCTAAGCACTCTACAAATATTAATGTACTTAATTTTTATAGCAATCATTAGAGGTGAGTATTATTATTAGCCACATTTAGCAGATAAGGACAGAGAGATGAAGACAGGTTAATTTGTCCAGGGTTACCAGCTACATAAGCTGTTAGTAACTGTCAGGCCTCTGAGCCCAAGCTAAGCCATCACATCCCCTGTGACCTGCACATATACATGCAGACGGCCTGAAGCAACTGAAGAACCACAAAAGATGATATTCCACCATTGTGATCTGTTCCTTCTCCACCCTAACTGATCAATTGAGTTTATGACAATATGCCCTTCCCGCCCTTGCGATAATGTACTTGTGATATTCCCCCACCCTTAAGAAGGTACTTTGTAATATTCTCCCCACCCTTGAGAATGTACTTGGGGAGATCCATCCACTGCCCACAAAACATTGCTCCTAACTCCACCGCCCATCCCAAACCTATAAGATCTAATGATAATCCCACCACCTTTTGCTGACTCTCTTTTCAGACTCAGCCAGCCTGCACCCAGGTGATTAAAAAGCTTTATTACTCACACAAAGTCTGTTTGATGGTCTCTTCACGCAGATGCACCTGACAGTAACCTATGAGGCTATTGAAGGGGTTTGAGAGAGTTAATATATGGCACCTGTTTTTCACAATTCTAAATTGGAAACAACGTGAAAAATAGATGTTATACATATAATGTTGAATATATATGTATTATATATATAATACATATATATTCAACTTGTTATTTATAATGTGTATGTTGAAGAACATAGCATTAAGTCTCTTAACCAAGTAGGGTTACTAATATTTTAACAATAAATTGGACAAACTTCCTTTTGACATATAGGTCAACATATTCACAGGATTAGGACGTGGACATTTTAAAAAGGCATTATTAAGTCTAACATACCTCCCAAATGCACCAATGGAGAAATAAATGACCTCTGGGAAGGCGTACATAAAGGAGCAAAAGATTAAGATTGTTACCACAGTTTGTCTTGCTTCACACGGTATCATAATGTCAGAGGAAGCAATTCCCTCCCCAGTCAGTCTTCTGTAGTGTATACATTTTGTTACCCCCAGTGGGTTTAATCATTAAGCTCTTTCTCAATCAAAACTAGTCTATTCTTTCTCAGGACAAGAAATCATGAGTGGCTTGCACTCTATTAACATATTTTCTAAGTATCTGCTACTGTTGCTTTACGTATCTTTTTGGGATCATTAATGTGTATTGGAGGTTTTCCAATCCCCTGGATGACTCTTTTATCTATCAGGAAAACCTTAATTAAATAATGTAGAAGGGCACTCTATCCACAATGCAATAAATTCTATTCCATTTTTTTCTCACCCCAAATTAGATTGAGATACAGTCCATTATGGTTCAGCTGAAGTTATACAATATATTAAATATAAAATATACTTTAAAATTAAATAAATGTAGACATACACATAAGAATAGCAACAACAAAGATATGCTTTAGATTTGAATATAAATTTTTTCCCATTATGAAGTTCTTGATATATACTGAAGAGCAAAAATTAAATCTTCTTGCAAATTAATGTCTAAAGATATTAAAAATTGAATGAAATTTAAAAATCCCATTATCTTGCTATTAAGAGTTAAAATTTTTAATAGCTAAAGCTTAAAAATGTACTCCAAGCAATTATATAACCTCATTACCCTCGATTAGATGAATTATTTATGTCTGAATTGACTTGGATCTCTAATCACCTTTAGCCTGGGTTCTGTCTCACTAGAATGGGTATAGGTACTTCAGGACTCAGGAATCACCTTTTCTTTTAGTCAGTAATTGAAAACTAGATGAATATTCATAAAAATACAAAATATAAATATATTGGATTATATTCCTGAAATTAAAAAAGGATTGTAATTGTACTAACAGATGATGATAAAAAATATGGTTTGAGACAGAGAATACTAACATGAGTTCTTCAGGCATAAATATTAGAAGAAATAGTAACATAGAAAATATGTGAGTAAACATAAATGAATACTGAGTGAAGAAAATAATGTATTTTGTGTTTTAAGGCATAAGTAGAATTAGAAGAGATGATAAAATAGCATGTAATTTAAGAGAAGGGTAAATGGAATGACATACTCTAAATTTCTACAATTATTGAGTACATAGGAAAGTAAGTAATATATAGAGTTTAAATAACTTGATAATTTGTGATTTAATAATCTTTTGGTGAAGCCATTACAATCATTGTAATCTATAACAAGTGAAAAGAGGGGAAGTATAATAGAAATAAATATTTGATTAATCCAGAGTAGTCAATACATAAAATAGGTGGAAAAGAACACAGGATCTAAGAGTCAAGTAGAAAATAAATAGCACAACAATGGGAATTAATTACTAAATACATCAGCAATTGTGTTAAATGTAACTAAACTAGATAGTTCAATTTTTAAAAATAAGATATAGGACCAGGACAGTAGGACCAGAACTGTGATAATCTTTTAAGTTCTGTTAACACTATGGACTCCTTAAAAAGTGAGATAGAACATTTTGCCTTTCCCTGAATATCACATAAATGGAGTTGTACAATATTACTTTTTTCAATCTAGCTTCTTTCATTTTCTATGCTTTTGAAATGCATTCAAGTTGTTACATTTATCAGTATTACATTCTTTATTTAATGCTGAACAATATTCCATTGTGAAGAATATCAACGTTTGTTTCTCCATTTGCCCACTGGGGTTGTCATTGAGACACATCGTGAAGCAAACTAACACAGGAACAAAAAACCAAATAGTGCATGTTCTCAGTTATAATTGGGAGCTAAATAATGAGAACACATGGACACATAGAAGGGAACAACACACACTAGGGCCTTTTGGAGGGTGGAGGGTGGGAGGAAGGAGAGCATCAGGAAAAGTAAATTGGTACTAGGCTTAATATATGGGTGATGAAACAATCTTACAACATAACCCCATGGCACAAGTTTAGCTATGTAACAATCCTGCACTTGTACACATGAACTTAGAATAAAAATTTAAAAAGTCTCTGCCCTTTAGTTGATACTTTGTGTGGTCACTCCTTTCAGTTTGAGTCACTATACTAGGTGTGTATCTCATTCTGATTTGATTTATATTTATTTAACAATCAATGATGTGTTTATTTACCCTCTGTTTCTCTTTTTTGAAGTTTCTGATCAATTATTTTGTCCATTTTATGGGGATTGTTTGTACTAATATGGTATAATATCTTTATATATATCTATATATAAAATCTATATATAGATATATATACTGGATAAAATCATGTATTACATATGTGTTTTGCAAATATTTTCTTCCAGTCATGCCTAGTATTTTCATTTTCTTAACAGTGTTTTATAAAACCATCAGATTATAATTTTGATGACGTCCAGTTTATCTATTTTTCCTTTAAGGATTAGTGCTTCTTAGATTCTAAGAAAATCTTTGCTTAAGTTTACAGTGTTTTCTCCTATGATTTCTAATAGAAGTTTTCTAGATTTAACTCATAATTAGGTCTATGATGCATTTCTAATTAAACGTTATGTAATGCAAAATAATGATCCAGATTCCTTCCTATGAATATAGATGTCCAAATATTCCCAGACCATTTGTAAGAGATACTACCGTGGTAGACTGGTAATAACACCCAAAGATGCACCAATGTCCTAATCCCAATATCCTATGACTATTAACATATTTGAAAAAGAGTTTTTGCAGATGTAATTACATTAAGGGCCTTAAAATGACAACAGTATTTAGGATTATCCAGGTAAGCCCAAAATAATAAGTTTCCTTTTCAGAGAATGTCACAAGAAATTGGACACACACACACACACACACACACAATCACACACAGAGAGAGAGAGAGAGGGAGAGGATGTAGTGATGTGAGAAGACTGAGGAGAAGACTGGAGTAATGCAGCCACAATCAAGTAATATTGGCAGCTATTAGAAGCTAGAAGAAGCAAGAAACAGATTTCTCCAGAGAAAGTAAAACCCTGCCCACACTTTGATTTTGACTCACTGAAGCTAACTTCAGCTATCTGGCCTCCAGAAATGTGAGAGTACATTTCTGCTGTCTTAAAACACCACAATTTATGGTAATTTCTTACAACAGCCACAGAAAACTAATACAGTATAGATATCCCATATTTTCTTTATGTATTCATCAGTTGATTGACATTTGCATTGTTTTCACATTTTAATGATTATGAATAATGTTGGCATGAATTTTCATGTACAAGTATTTGTGTGAACATATGTTTTCTTGGGTAAATACTTAGGTGTAGAAATACTGGGTCATAAGATAAATTTATATGCTGAACTTTTTGAGAAATTGTCAAACTATTTCCAACAGCAGAATGTACATTCCCAAAGCAATATTCTTGACATAACATAATTATACCTTGTGTGTACATTAACACAGATGTACAATTTTTGCTTATGCACTTGCCTTTTAAGTAAGGCAGAAAAAATAATTTCAGACAAAATACAATTTTTTTCTTTGTTGTGTATGTAGTTAACTTTACTGATGTTCTTCATTTCATTACTTTTCAGTGTGGATTCTAGTTACTGAATATTGTCCTTTTATTTTATCATGAAGTACTTTCTTTAGTAGTTCTTTTTAAGACACTCAGCAAGTCGTAAATTCTCTCAGTTTTTATGTGGAAATAACTTCATTTCTCTATTTTTGAGGGATAGTTTTTCTGGACATGTAATTCTTGGTTGACAATTTTGTTCTTTGATTTTCTTGTTCAGCACTTTGGATATGTCCTAGTCTCCATGGTTTATGTTGAGATATTAGGAGTTATTCTTATTTAGGATCCCTCAAAAGTTAGGGGTCAATTCTATCCCTGCTTTCAAGATTCATATTGGTCTTTGGCTTTTACAGTATTATTGTGATGTGCCAAGTTGTGCCTCTCCAAGTTTATAGCATATAAAGTTTGTTGAGGCTTCTGAATGTACAGATTAGTGTTTTTGGAAAGTTTTTGTCCATCCTTTGTTCAAACACTATTTCTGTTCCTCTCTCTGCTTCTGAGGCCCATTCTTTTTCAGATGCTGGTATGCTTGATGGTTTCCCATAAGTCTCTGGCTCTGTTTATTTTTCTTCAGTATTTAGCATTTTGGTATTCTGATTGAAGAAGTTCAATTGGCCATTCTTCAAGTTGCTGATTTGTTCCTCTGCCTGTTCAAATATGTAGTGGAGACCCTCTGGTATATTTTTTAGTTCAGTTATTGTACTTTTCAACTCTATAATTTCTATTTGATTGTTATTTATAATTTATATCTCTTTATTGATATGTCCTTTCTCTTAATTTTCTTTCTTTAGACAAAGTTTCATTTACTCTTTGAATATATATACGAGTAATGATTTAGAGACTTTGATGAATAAGTCTAATGTCTATACTTCCTCAAAGAATGTTTCCATTGATTGCTTTTTTTCCCTGTGTATAGGTTGTAGTTTTTGTTTCTTTGCATGTCTTATATTTTTTGTTGAAAGCTGGACATTTTAAATAATAAATTTTGGCAACTCTGGAAAATACATTCTCTCCTGGGGGCTTGCTATAACTGCTACTTGCTGAAGTTATTACTGTTTTTTAGTGACTTTTCTAAACTAATTTTATAAAATCTGTATTCTTTATTGTGCATGACCACTAAAGTCTCTACTCCAGTGCTCAGCTAATAATTTGATATAAACTTTCTTAAATGCATGGAATCAATAAATTTCCTATTATCTTCTGAGGGGCTGTTTGTGTGTACTGGGGTACATTTCAACCCTCAATCAAGGCAGCTCAGACCTCTGATCTAAACTTCATTTTCAGCATGCACAGAGCTTGAAGGTCAGCCAGAGTTGAGGACTTAGGGCCTTTTCAGGTATTTCCTCAAAATGCACGTGCAAATGATTTATAGTCCCCACAAAGATTTTGGAGCTTTTCAAAGCCCCTATGATTGTCTCATTCTGCGCTTTTTACTTTTAAACATTTTCCCCAACCTTTGTCCATTGCCTCAGGCAGCCACAAAAATAAAAGACTTGTCTGTAATTGTTGTTGACAAACACCCACCCAGGTTTCTAATTTTTTTTTTCTGGTCTCTTCTTAGAAAAATTAAGTACTGACACATCAGTTCTCTAAATTCTTTCATCCACATCACTTTTGTCAAGACCTTAGTTTGGTTATTGCTTTATAGTGTCTTGGAATCCTTTTATGCCTTTTCTCTGCCTTTCCTTGACATTCCATTCCCTATTGTTTTTTTGTTCTAGTTTCATGATGTTAATAATTATAGTTTATAGAATGCTTACTAATAATAGTTACAGTTTAAGAATGCTTACTAATAATAGTTACAGTTTACAGAATGCTTACTGTGTTCTTGGCAGTTCAGAGAAAGTGTTATTTGTGGTTCATGTATATTTTCATTATATTGAGGTTATCAAAAATTATATTTTTTCTTTGATTTCTTATTGAAAAAGTAATTTTCAGTTGTATTTTTATTTTTTGTGCTATTCAGAATGATATCAAATGCTTCCTTGTTCTGAAACATTTTACATATATCTCCTTCTGGATTATTTTATTCATTTGTTTACTGAATCTTGAAAAATAAGGAGTCTATCACAAACTCAAAATTGCTATTAGGTGCTGGATTGGGCTCTTCATAAGCCCTGGACATTTTAACATATTGTATGTTGGCAGTATTTACAATTTGCAATTCTACAATATAGAAGAATTATTGATATGTTACACTTACACCAGTCACTACTGTTAATAGACTTCAAATACAGTATGTTTGCTAGTTTCTGATAGACTTCATCACTGAGCAGCTTCCTAGATTAAACAAAAAAGATATTTCCCATCATGCACTACAGTCAGTGGTACTTTTATGCCCAAACTAGACAGCATTTTTATTAGCATTTCAGGTATACCACCCCTCAAAATGTGATTTTACAACTTAATTTCTATTCTCTGTGTGTATGTTGCAATCTATATATAAAAATAAACATATATGTGAGATGTGGGGTGTGAAGGAAGAGACAATATATTGTTCTTGTTCAGTTAATAACAGAAGAATCACTGTTCAGTTCCCTTGTCATTGATAATTCTGAGACTATACACTGGAAAATAGGATGTGGAGTAAGGTCAAAATATGCCAGTAAGATTTTTTTCTATTTTTGACAATTTTAAGTCCTTTCAGGAGCAAAACAAATGTTTCTCACAGGATGTGATTTAGTAACAGGATTCTGGGGATGTCACTTCACCAGCCTGAAACTTCTTTGCCAAGGTGCCTTTGCCTGGGTTTTGCTCTGGCCTGCTGGGCTTGTTCTGCCCACTTGGCCAGGCAGGCTGCACTTGGCTTAAGCTACTGGCCTGCATCCCACACCTGCCAAGAGTGAGCCAGACACAGAGCAGCAAGGGGTGTGTGAGCAAGCATGGGGTCTGGCCACTGTGCAAAGCCAGGCATGCCTGCCGGGGCAGGGTAGTCAGCTCCAGGTGCCAGTATGGGTACTGTCTCTCTGTGAGGCTGTGGCTGGATCGGGTGAATCACAAGCAGCTTCCATGGCTGGCACTGGAGAACATGGTAGCACTCAGAATCTTGGAGATGACATCAACTGCAGAGCCCCAAAGTGGATGTGACAGCCCTCGCTCAGGGAGCTCCTATGTCTGGGCTCCCCAAAGGGCCACAGCTCTTTTTTCCTTCTCTCTTCCCTCCTTGTCACCCACAATGTGGCAAGCAAGGGTTGTATTTCAGCCTGTTTGTGTTACAGCTCTTTCAGCCCCACCATTTGGTGGATGCTGAGTTCTTGTCCTGCATCCTGAAAGAATAATGTATATGGACAAGTGGAGGGTGAGCAAGGCAACGAGGAGCTTTACTGAGTGACAGATCAACTCAGAGGAGACCTACATTGGGTAGCTCCTCTCCTCAGGCAGAGTGTCCTGATGAGTGTTCAGCTCTCAGCAGAGAGGAGACCCTGGGGTTGGTAGCTCCTCTCTGCAGCTGGTAGTCCTGTCATCTCTTCATCTCTCAGCAGAGAAGAGACCTGGAGTGTGTTGCTTCTCTCTGCAGCTGATTGTCCTGTCATCTCTTCAGCTTTCAGCAGAGAGGAGACCCTGGTGGGTAACTCCTCTCCACAGCTGGTCATCCTGTCATCTCCTCAGCTTTCAGCAGAGAGGAGACCCTGGAGTGGGTAGCTTCTTTCCATAGCTGGTCATCCTGTCTTCTCCTCATGTCTGGCTGAGCCTAGGGTTTTTATGGGCTTCACAGGAGAGAAAGTGTGTGCTGATTGGTCCATGGGCAGGCCTGGAAAAAGCACCGTAAGTTCCCACTCCAGTCTGCAGGACTGGCAGCCTGATCCCCAGGCTTCAGGGCTTCCCCAGCTTGAAGGTGAGACTTCACTGGGACCTGGCCCTTTCCACCCAGAAGGCTGTCTGCCTCCTGCCTCTATTCATGGTTTTCAGGCTGTTCATGCTCAGGGGGCACCTACAGGCTAGCAATGAGCTGCCTTTAGCACCCCCCAAGCTCCCTCCCATGCTTGTCGGTGCCCAGAGTTCAGAGGAGCCTGAGGCGGCAGGGGGCTGGCATGTTATCACTGCCCTGAGCATGTACACACACAGCTTGGCTGTGACAGCACCTGGGCTTGGCCCCAAACTTGCTCCCAAGATCAGAGCAGGTGCCAGGAGGAGGGAGAGGCCAGGCAGCAGGATCAGACACCTCTGAGCCTGCAGGTATAGGGGGGACCTTCCTAGGCCCCCAAGAGTGCAGAGATGCCCAGGTCCACAGCTGTAGCTTGGGCAGCTGCAACTGTGCCTAGAGGTTGGGGCTCCTGCCTGCTCCTGGCCCCCAAGTGCACAGGGAGGCCCATTCCACAGCTGTGGCTTGGGCAGCTACAGCTGCACCTGGGAGGGTGGGGCTCCTCCTTGCTCCTGGCCTCCAAAGGAACAGGAGGCCTGGGTCTGCAGCCACGACTTGAGCAGCTGCAACTGCACCTGGGAAGGTAAGACTCCTGTCTGGTCCCAGCTCCTGTGGGCTCCATGGAGCATGCAGCCCAGCCATGCCTCCCCCACTGCAGCCTGTGGCATCTTGGGAGTGGCCACTTCAGGCAGGTCACCTCTGCTATCAATTTTAAATTTAGTTTTATACATAGTCCTAAATGAGAGACTCTTTGCTGAGAGGTTGACTATCAGATTGATTATTCCTTCACTCTTTCAGAATTTTGTCTTGTTCCTTACTTCTTAAAAATTGTGTATGTTGATGGGTACTATGTGATATTTTGAACTAGAAAGGTTTAATCAACCTAAATAACATATTCATCACCTGACCAATTTATCTTTTTTGGGGGGTGAGAATGTTAAACATCTGTTCTTTTAGCAATTTTGAAATATACAATAAATTATTATTAATTGTTACCATATGGTACAATTAATCAATAAAATGTATTCCTCCAGTCTGAGACTTTGTACCCTTTGATCAACATATTTTTTTCCAAACCTCTCCCTCACCCCCAGGGTCTTATCATCACCTGTCTACTACTCTCTGTTTCTATGAAACTGACTTTTCTAGTTTACACATATAAGTGAGATCATACAGTATTTGTCTTTCTGTGCTTGGCTTATTTAACTTAGCATAATGTCCAGCAGTTCCATTTCTGTTGTCACAAATTACAGAATTACAGAATTTCTTTCCTTTTTAAGGATATATATTATTCCATTATATCATTTACCAAATTTTGTTTATCCATTCAAAACCTAATGGACACTTAGATTGCTTCCATATCTTGTGTATTGTGAATAATGATGAAATAAATATGAGAATGCAGATATCTCTTCAACATACCAATTTTTAAATTCCTTTGGATATATATTCAGAAGTGAAATTGCTGGATCATATGGTTATTATATTTTCAGTTTTTTAAGTAACCTCCATACTGTCCTCCAAAGTGGCTGTACTAATTTACATTCTCAACAACAGTGTACAAGGGTTCCCTGTTAACCACATCCTTGCAAACTCTTGTTATCATCTATCCTTTTAATAGTAGCCACACTACCAGGTGCAAGGTGATATCTCACTGTGGTTTTAATTGGTATTTCCCTGATGATTAGAGGTGTTGAGCATTTTTTCATGTATCTGTGGCAATTTGCGTATCGTCTTTTGTGTTCTTGGCATCCTTGTTGAAATCAATTGACTGTAGATATCTTGGTTTATTTCTCAACTTCCTATCCTGCTCATTGGCCAATGAGTCTGTTTTTATGCCATCACCATGTGTTTTGATTACAAGAACTTTATAATATATTTTGCAGTAAGGAAGTGTGATGACTTTGGCTTAATTCTTTTTGCTTAAGATTTCTTTGGTTATTTGAGGCTTTTTCTGGTTCCATATAAATTTTAGAATTGCTTTTTCTATTCCTGTGACAAATTACATTAGAATTTTTATAGAAATTATATTGAATCTATAAATTAAGTTGGATAGTATGGATACTTTAAAAATATTAATTCTTTCAATCCATGAACAAAGGATGTCTTTTTATTTATTTCTTCAACTATTTTCATCAACGTTTTATAGTTTTCAATGTACAGATTTTTCACCTGTTTGGCTAAATTTCTTGTGACGTATTTGAAATTTGTTCATTTTCAGGATTCTCAAATTATTAGTTTAGTATGCTCAATTATACAATTTAATTACATTTAATTTTGATTAGATATTTTAAGAATATGTAAATAAAAACTGATTTACATAATTCTACAGTTAGTGCAGAGAGAAAAATTCATCTCTTTAGGCAAGCAAATAAGATGTATAATTTTATGTAGAGAAAATCAAATTCATTAGTAAATTATTATGTTTGTTTCACCTAGACTAAGAAATTCTAAATAAATACTTTAAGTTTCCAATATTCTTTACATTAAAAAAATAATGATTTATCTCATTGTATTTCAACATACGGCTCCTGCATGTATTATTGTTTTGTGTTACAGAACAATAAAGCAACATTTGTCAGCAAACATTCATATGCTTGCTGCTACCTCTGTCTTCTTTTAAAGACTAAAATCAGCCAGAGATAATGGACTCCAGGGAGGAAGTAAACAAATTATAGAGGAAGAACACAATTCCTCAGAGCAAGTTGGCAGCATGGATTCTCCATCCTAGACTTGTTATACTCTGGTGAGAAATCGGTAAAGAAGCCATTACTTCTTGTCAGTGATAGCACTAGCAGCATGTAAAACGTTGATATTCAGCCCTGAGAAATTGAACTTGCTACATTGTTTAAAAATAGCATTGGTCAGAGTAAGAGTGGATTTTTACAGACAGAACATGCAGCTCTATCATTTTGTTTTGCTGACTTTGAATAGGTAACATCTACCCTAAATGGGTTGCAGGAATGAAAAAAAAAATGAAACAACTTGGATTTTAATTTGTAAGTCCTGGATCTGAGTCTCAGATCTTAGTTTACCATGTAGGTGGGCAAATTAATAATTTTGATAGTCAATTATCTTGGTTGAATATAGAAAATACAAATACCATATCATTGTGAAGAATTAACAATAAGCCAGAATACATAAAAACACGTGGAAACTACAACGCAATGTATTATATTATGGGAAATTAGTATTTTATTATGTAGAGTGGTTTATGGCTGAATTCAATAAGTATTGAAATAGGGTAAAATTACATGTACATATAGTTGTGAACACAACAAAACTGATGAGTAGTAGATTGAAAACTTAATCACTCTTAATTACCCTGGCTGACTTTCTCTCTTTTACAATTTGTCTCACTCCTTCAGTGATAATATTTACATTATAACTTCTTGCATTAATGTTCACTTTTTAAAAATTTCTCCTTTATGACCAGGGGTGTTGGCTCATGCCTGTAATCCCAGCACTTTGGGAAGCTGAGGCAGGCGGATCATGAGGTCAGATTGAAACCATCCTGGCTAACATGGTGAAACCCCATCTCTACTAAAAATGCAAAAAACTAACCAGGCGTGGTGGCAGGTGCCTGTAGTCCCAGCTACTTGGGAAGCTGACGCAGGAGAATGGCGTGAACCTGGGAGGTGGAGCTTGCAGTGAGCGGAGATTGAGCCACTGCACTCCAGCCTGGGTAACAGAGTGAGATTTTGTCTCAAAAAAAAAAAAATAATTCTCTTTTATAATTTTTTGGTGTTTTGCCTTGCCAATTTATTCTCCATTTATGAAGCACATGCTGGGAAATAATTTTTGTCTGATAGCTCATTAATTCATTTATTCATTCATTGTTTATTTACTTCTTTAGTTTCTTCATTCTTTAAAATGTTGCCCATTTACATTTTCGATGAATATTAACATGGAGTATACATATATGAAAAGAAATGGTTTCTTCTCCAAAGTAGTTTGTAAGTACATAAGGAAGATGAATTAGGTACATGAGCAAGTTTAATGAAAGGGAGAAAGTTGACGAGCATCCTAAGTGAAAGACAGGTTAATTATGGGAATTACAGGTGGGAAAACAAACTCCCAGACGATGAGGGATGTAAAGACTTAAGCGGCATTTGAGCTCCTACATGAAATGGGTACCATATGGGTAGAGGTAGGGAGATATTGGCAGGGAGAACATATAAGAATAAATTCAAGAATATGGGCAAATTAGTCAGCATGGTTGGAAGAAAGCAAATATTAGAAATTGTATTGAAGTTACAGGCAATAGGCTGTAGTAAAGAAATTTGAAAAAGGACATTGTGACCCTGCCATGAGGACTCTTGAATTGTAAAAAAAAAAAAAAAAAAAAAAAAGGAAAAATTGGGAGGCTCTTCAGTTAGAAATGAGAAGCTGTAGACTGATAAGTAGGTGGTTAAGATGACGAAAGATGGAACCAGTGAAAAGGTTATGTGTGAGACCAAAGTTCTTGTTATGTTAGTACAAGAGGGAATGGAGATTTGAGAAGTTTGGGAGTTAAGTAGGATAGTAGTTCTAATTTATTAGGCGACTACTCTGTGTCAAGGGCTTCACATGCATTATTTAATCTTACCCTCATGGCAAGCCTAAGAGAAGGTTCTGTTTCACAGAGAGATAACTGGGGCCCAAGACCACACAGCTGTGAAGCAGGGGAACTGAGATTTGAACCCAGGCAGTTTGATTCCAGAGCTGGTGCTCTTAGCTTTTGTGCTATTCTGGAACTTCATTACAGATAGGGAGGCATGAGAAATGTAGAATTCTGACTTGATAACAAAAGTTTTCCAGTCCTTGTGATTTGAGAAAATGCAGATGATAATACAGAAAAAATGGCAGAGTAGAATGAAGGAAGAGAAAATGAGTCCCATCTTGTATGTGTTGAGTTTTAGTCTTTAGGGATCACAAAAGAAGAGATTTCCTGCAAGCAAATAGAAAATCACGATTAACTCAGAAAAGGCATTTGGAGAAACATATTTCAGAGTTTTCTCAAAAGAGAAGATGAAGGATGCTGAAAAAGGGCGTAAGAAGACAGGGAATATGAGCAGAGAAAAAGTGGGTCACACGCAGGCCTTAGGATAGTCAGGAAGGCAAAAGCGATTTCAGCTTGAAACAGAAGCATAATTTCATCTCAGAGAGTTTAAACTTATTCTAGAGCAGCAATTTTCTCCTGCTTGGAGAAGTCAGTGCACTGCAGGGTATCATGAGCCTGTAAATCAATTAAACCTAAATTACAAAGTCAAATGGCATCTGTTCCCATCCTGACATAAAACCTGCAAAGATGAAAAATCACTGGCTGGAATAAGTTAAAAATTTTATAAGTTGCTTTTCCACTGAGTGTTTTTTTCACACAATTTCAATAACACAGAAGCAGTTTTGGGGCTGGTAGGGTCCTCAGAGGTCACCTAACACCCTCATTTTATAAGCAGGAAATCCAAGGCACAGATAAGTGACCACAAGTTATAGAACTAGATTTTTCATCAGTGGGTTCATTCATATTTATACTCACTAAATATTTGGAGACCAAGTTGTTTTTATTTCTTAATATATACCTTAGAGTATTATTGAGAAGAAATGTTTTATAACATATGGTCCTAAGTTATTGAGACTTTATTTTACATATATTTTACTTTCCCTTTACTAAGAACGTATTCATCATTCTGTTCTGTTTTTTTCCCAAGGAGATTTTGATAGCATGAATGAAAGCAGAGATTGTCCACAAACAAATGACCTTTCTGGCTTTTAAGAATATCTGAGGTCCTTGAGAGAAAAGCAGGAAAGGGAGAAGAGCCTTCACTGAAGGAAGGGAGGAAAGTAGAATGGGGAAAGAAAAGAAGAGAATGCAACAGGGAAAAAGGCTTGTAGGTGCCTAAGTGTTTAGTACCTTTCTCCACCTCTTCTGAAGGCCCCATTGAGACTCTGCCCAATAAGAAATTATTAGGCCGGGCGCGGTGACTCACGCCTGTAATCCCAGCACTTTGGGGAGGCCAAGGCGGGCGGATAACGAGGTCAGGAGATGGAGACCATCCTGGCTAACATGAGTGAAACCCCGTCTCTACTAAAAATACAAAAAAATTAGCCAGACGTGGTGGCGGGCACCTGTAGTTCCAGCTACTCGGAAGGCTGAGGCAGGAGAATGGTGTGAACCTGGGAGGTGGAGCTTGCAGTGAGCCAAGATCGCGCTACTGCACTCCAGCGTGGGTGACAGAGCGAGACTTAGTCTCAAAAAAAAAAAAAAAAAAAAAAAGAAAAGAAAAGAAAAAATTATCAATACTTTACTTATGCAACCATTCCTCTCTGCTATTCTACATGCAGTCTATAAAAATCCTGCCCCCCTGTGCTGGTTATCTTCTAGTCTAGAAATAGAAGTTATCTCTCCAAACCTCATTTTTTCCCTCCAGGAGGATATTTATAGACCCACTAGCAACAGGCTCACCATGGAGTCTGAAAAAGAATGCATTCATATCATTACTTCCTTTTGTTTTTAATACAATGCCAATTTTATTTTAACTAATTTTAATTTTAGCATTTTTTTCATTAGTTTATGATTACTCTTAAAAATGTCTCCCAAATATTCAGGTAAAATATTTTAGGAAACGGTTGCAACAAAAACCCACAGAGAGGAATGGTTACCTCTTTCTGGGGAGTATAAGAAGGCAATCCAATATATAAGTCACTCCTTGTAAGGTGCCAAAGCAATGTTGTCAACAACTTCTTCTGAGTTAGGCAAACTGCAATAAGAAGTATAAATAATAGTTTAGCAAAAAGTCAAAAGAGGAATAATACTTTTGATATGTTCTCTAAAGTTATGCAGAGAAGATTAGAGCCAAACTAGACTTGAAAATTGATGTTTTTAACCAAAGGCATATGGGAATGCTGAGTTTCTTTTGGCATAATGAATGGGGAAAGAGCCTTAGAATGGTTACAATAAGAAAACAGTTAAGGGAAAACTGAAGAGAGGATATTCAAATATATTCAGAAGAAGAAAAGCCATGCAAGAGACTTTGGGACTAATCGTATGGTGTATAGAAATGGTTCTTTACTTAGAATTGGTAATCTTTTGGAAAACCTGGATTCCTGAGTTGCATCTCCAAACCAATTAAATCAGAGCCTCCAGAGATGGGACCCAGGCATGGGTGTTTTAAAACTCATCACATTTTTGTAATGTGCAACAACGTTGAACACCTGCCCCTCTGACATATTCTTTCCTTAGTCTTTCTAATTCTTTTTTAAAAAATGTGTTGGTATTTTCTGTTTATATATAAACTAAAATCCTATCTCATTCTCTGTGCACTCAAAGTGATTATTTGCGGTTTTTTTAAATGTGCATAAAAGGAAGATCTGTTGGAAGAATAGATTAACAGAGGCAGGAATACAAATAAAGCCAGGGCTCTGCTGAATACCTTTGAGACTCGGCGTGGCCAAAGCTAAGCTAAGAGGAAGCCTATTGTGCAAATGAACTGGAAAACAGTATTTGCCTTGGAGAAATCGGAGGCTTTTCATAGTTACTGGGGGAAGTAACTGGGAATGTTTTTACTGCCCAAGCAACTATTTTTCAAATAGTTCTATTGTAATGTTGTATAGAAGAAAGCTTTTATTTTGGATAGGCAATGGGAATTATAAGTTTAAAGGCCGAGGATAATCTCTGGAATGACGTATTTTAGTTATCTCTGTGTGATGTAAACAGGTCTTTGGAAAAAGAGTAGAGTTGACTGTGATCTTTCACTCTTGTCAATAAATAAAGTTGATAAATAAAATAACTGTTTCTGATATTCTTTTCTGGTAAAAGTCATTGTATGAGACTTTTCTGGAGAAGTCATTTTTTTTTCTATATCAAGAGTTGTTTAAGTCATTGTAAAGGGTCATGTTGTGGGGTGAGACAGCTGCCCATAATGGAAAACAAACATCTCCCCTCATCCTCCAAACAATAGGTTTGGAGAAACTTACTTCTAGAAAATGATCCCTCTTTGACATAAAATAAAAGGGTAACTAGTTCTCTCATGGTAATGACATGAGTTACAGATACAGCATCTGAAGAGCCAGAGAAGCATGGAGAGCAGAGGGTCTTTGTATAAAGAGGCAAATGGAAACATAGACAGAGCATTGGAGAGAAAAGACAGGGAGATAAGACAATGAGCCTCAGGGTCCTCTAGTCAAATACTGGTCCAAGGGTAGAGATGCTACATAGGAAGTGAAAAGTATGCTGTTTGAAAGAAGGATCACTGAGAGGGGTAATCTGAATACCTAGGAGCTGGTTGAGCAGCTACCATTAACAGAACATCTGGTCATCTTACACACAGGGTTTTCATAAATCAAACTTTTATGTTTTCTAATAAACCACCATTCTTCATGCAAGTGAACACTTTGAACTAATTGCATCTGAAGACCTCTAAAATATTCTCAAGTGTGGGATAAATGGTAAACTAAAGGGGTTTTTGTATTTCAATCAGGGTGTTTTCATACTTGATGTAGGTGGTCAAATACAGCCTGCTAGATATAGATATGTAGATACAGATACATGAATAGGTATAGATATCTGTATAACTATATCTAGGTCTAGATGTAATAATTGCATTAAATTTATATGGTATTTATATTTACTATAATACAAATAGTATATTTGTATTAAATTATTGAATTAAATTATTAAAAACTTATATATTTATGTCAAAAGTCTGATGCAGATGGTATGGTCTTTCTCCAGAAACTTCTTAGTCTATATTGTGACTGTTGTGTTACAGATTGCCATATACTCCACACGATACCTCTTTCACTACAGATACTACCTACGATTAGAGGCTACTGAATTATGAGTCCTATTCAGTGTTGGAAGCTCTCTATGCCACTGGGTGCATAGGATGGAGCTTTGGAAAATGCTGTCATCTGTAGAATATGTTGCTGCCAAAACTCAAGAAAACTTATCAGCCTATCAGGGATTGAACTTTCTTTTCTTTGTGGTGAAAGTGTGAGGTGGAATAATCTATCTTGTTCTTTGAAACTAATGTCCCAGTCTGTTCTGGACCACTAGACCCTTACAAATTTATTGATAGCAAACCTGTGAATCACCATCGGGCTCACTTTACATCTTTTGAATCACATGTGTCTTACCAAGGCTTTTATTGTACTTGCCATTTCCTGATTATACATATTTATTACCATGATGCTGTCAGTATAGTGAAAATGGTCTGATATTCTACATGATATAGACATAGTCGAGGTTTCTTCAGACCGTATTATAACAGACAGTAGGAGAGTTAGCAAAGCTTTGATGCAAGACTGAAAAATGAATACTGTTATCTATTCCAAATGAATATTAACTGTTTCTGATATTCTTTTCTGGTAGGGATGGAAAAGAACATTTTGGGAGATTAGTGGCTAAATACCATATACATGAAGTGACATTAATCTTCTCTAGCCAAGATAACCACCTCTTCTACAACAGCTTGATGTGGGGATACTGCTTGGCTGAGTTTGTGGTAATCTACGGTATTTTCGAGGATCTCTTTGGTTTTATAGGGCCAGACTTGGTAACTGAAAGGAGATATGATAAAGACGCCACCTCTGTCTCCTTTCTATTTATAAGATAGTATCAATCTCTGCAGTTTTACCTGGAATATGATATTGTCACTATTGTGTCAGTGTTGGTGGTGGAGGGGTTCGGGGCTCTTCCTTTTGATGAGTCATGGAACCAGTAGACACACTCAAGCTGAACTTGCACCAGGATCCCATTTATTACCTGGCCTTCATATATTCCTAGCCTCACATGCAAACCATGAAGGTGAGATAATTTGTGTTCATGGATATCATTGGCAACTCAGTACTTACATGCAACAATCCTCAGAATATTAGGTTTGGGTATTCTTTTCCCAGTGTGCAGTTATTTAAGCAAATGGTTATAGTGCTCTTTGGGAAAAGAAGTAATCATTACAGTGTGTAATTGCTGGAATGCTACCAGGGTACTTTCTCTTGGGAACCAAGCTTGTTCTTCATTCATTGGGTTCAAGGGTTGGAACACTGACTCGCATCTGGAAATTGGACAAGAGATTGTGACATTTTGTTAAGAGGACTGCCTTTAATCTCCTGACCAGCCTTCCTGGAGTTGTTGTAAATATTGGGCAATGCTATCATTGAATGCACATCTATCTTGACTCTAAGAAAAGTGTGTTCTATCAGCCATATCTGCAGCTCTCTGCCTGCCATGCTCCTCTAGGCAATATTTCAACTTTCAACACTAATTCAACACTAATTGAAACTGTCTTGTTTTAAACTGTTAAAAGCCACCACCTAGAGTCCATTATTTTGAAATGTTATCATCCCCACTCTTATTAAGGAGACCATTTCCCTAACATGTTTCCTCTCATAAATTGTACTCCACAGTTAGGCTGTAGGTTCTAATGCTGGTAGGCTTTTCACTACCATATTCCTCATTACTTTGTTAAATGAAGTATTTTCCTGGCCCTGCTGAGAGCATAGTCATCTAGCAGTTTGCCCAGGCTTACATGAAATGTCCACTCTGGCATGCCCATTTTTCCAAACTATTTCCCCTCTTTTACTACCATCTGCCATAGCAATATTGACACTCCTATTCTACTTATAGTGGGCCACATTTTCTCCAAGTTGCTAAGAAACATCCTAGCATTGTCTTTTGGAGTCTTTCCCAAAGTGTTTTGCCAGAATGTTTTTAAAACAACAGTTCTTCTGTATAGATAAACTCTTCCATATATAATTTCATCTTCTCCCTGAATTTTGTTTTCACGGTTCCTCTGTGGGACCAGCTGTCTTGGTCCTGCAGCTCTTTGGGATATTGCTCCCTACCTCCCTTCACAAGCTTGTCACTTCCATGACCAGATTATGGTGTGACATCTCTGCTTATTGACTTTTTACTTAAGAGGAAAGCGAGGTCCAGATTTTGAGGAAGGCACATGATGTCTTGCAGGAGAGAGGCCTTCTTTAAGACAAGTGGGACCCTAGCCTTTAACAGAGAGAAATGTGCCACTTCTACAGCTCCAAAGAGTTCAATGGAATTTGGAGATTCAATATTTTCAAGGGCATGCACCCATATGACCCCATCCCTTATGTCAAGGTCCCATTTTTTCCCAATCAGGACTTTGAATTTGACATATAAGATTTGTCTAGCTTAAATGTTAAACCTTTATTAGAACTGTGCTATTCCCATTTGGCTCTCTTCCTAGTCCTCAGCTTTCTCTGTCCTTAGTATGTAGGAAATAAAAGACTGTTAAGTGCTTCCAAGAAGTCTCTCTGACATTCAGTTACCTTTTTAATAGATAATAACCCCCAGACTTTCCTTTTTTTTCTCCAGAGCATCAATTACCCCTAGAATAGTTATCCTTATCAATACTATTTATCCTGTATTTCTTAAGCACATGATACATTGCTTCTCCTGGTTTATCTCTCCAGTTTATTGCTGATAAACATTTTGACAATTGCACCAAAATCTTGTTACAGAACCTATCCAAGTTCTGTCTACCACCAGTGGTTTGGCCTTCATTGTCAGCTGGCTGGCAAATGTTCCAATCCATCTGATTTCTCAGGCTACTACTAGAAGCAACTGTTGCAGGTCAGGTTATTGATGAAGCAGACTCTAAAATGAAATTAGCATACAGGAGGTTTAGTAGGTAGTGCTCTTAGAATTAACACTGGGAAGAGGAAAAGGAATTAGGCTTAAATGGAGGAACCCTGGTGAGCTCTGAAGCGTGGGTAGATCTTCAGAGTTGTCTTGATTTGGGGTGGTTTAAACCCCAGAATTTACCAGTCACTGGATTTAAGCTGTGACTGCTACGGCAATATGACCTTGTACAAGGAGGCTTTTTTTCAGCTGAAGGCAATTCCAAAGGGTTGACTGTTGAAGGTTTTTTTGACAACAGCACTCCTTAAAACTGGGTGAAAACAGCCTCAATCCTGATGGGAAGACCTGGGCAATACAGTAGTATCCACAACACATTGCTCGGGGCAATCAAATTGAAAGCCACAATCACAAAGCTGTATCTGTTGGTAAACATGTGATTTTAGAACAGAGAACCAAAAATACATGGCCCTTGTCTCAGGAGAAGCACTGTTGCCATAGCAATAAAGCACAAATATGTCATCACTATTACTAGCTCTGAAATTATAAAGCCCACTTGCAAGGTGATTAGGAAGAAAAAATAAATTGAAGCAAAATTCAGTTACCTCACTGTTTTCTTATGACCAAGACTTTATCAGAAGCTGAAATGTGAAAAGATACCTATAATTAACTTCATAAAATTTTAAAAGAAAAACTTGCTTATGAAAAAATATATGTAGGGAAGTCACTCGCCAGACACACTAACATGTGCATTTTTATTATCTGTAACTGCTGTTACTACCCTCACTGTTCTCAACCCTGCCCCTCACCATCTACCCTCTGGAGCATTGAAAATTAAACTTTAAACTTAGCAAGTAGTCATGTGGTAACTTCTGTGTTTCAATAGACTGTTTCTGAATAGCTCAGCTTGTTGATTTTCAATGTTGTTTTATGGCTGTTTCCCTTCTCTTTATACAGAGGGACTTTGGTTTATGGAGGAGCTTATAGGATCCTCACTGTCCTCTGCAGCAGTGGTATTTTTTGCCTTAATCACTGCTACAGCTCCCAGCATCTGCTGGTTCTCTGCACCTGGTAACTGTTAATAATCCATCAGCCAGTCAGGCTCCATCCTAGTTCTCTTTTGCTTTGGTTTCTCTGGAGAATTGCCAGACACTTTTTTCATCCTAAACCTGAATGTGCTACCTAGTATAGCAGAGCTGCAGGATCCCTTCTCTTGAGCCACTGTGACACTCTCTGCTGGCTGGCCAGTCAGCACCATCAGCCAGCTCCCCCTAGCTCTCCACAGGGCATGTGGGAACTTCTGGATTCCTTACGAGAGCTGGAGGGCTCTAAGGAGCTGCCATCCCAGGCCGCGGTGTCAACTTAGATGTTTGTCACCACATCAGCATTATACATAGAAATGGTTCCTCTCAAACTATCCAGTACACTCCTTGACCCCCTCCAAGACATCAACCCATAGATTAGGGGTCAAAACATCAATGTCTTACTGCCTGTTTTCCTTCTCTCCATTTCTATTATCTTCTGAACCTACAGCCTCAGTTCTTAAAGCCTCCCATTTTTACTACCTATCCAGTAGAGACTTCCCAACATCTCATAGCCTCTTTCTTCTTCCCTAGGGTTATCAGCCACCCCATCTTCCCTGAATTTTTCATTGTGAATAAATGAGGAATGGCTGCAAACACACATGATTACTGGAAGAGGAATTAAAAACACAATGTTTATTTTATATATATATGTATTTATATATATATGTATATATATATATAACTTTGGATCTGTATCTATATTTTCCTTTTTATCAGTATATACTTTAGCCACCTCCATTCTCATTTTTAAAAAATGTCTGCTTTTTCTATAGATTTTAAATTATACTAGCACTATTAGATTTTATAGTGACCCATTTAAAAAGAATAGTAATCACTATATTTCCTACCTTACTTTAGATAACACCTTTAACTCATTTAAAATCAGTGAAACTATTATATGTGACTTAATTTAAGTAGAATATACAGTCAACAGTCTTAAAACTTCTTTTTGAGTGGGATTTTTTTTTCTTTGTTTGCCTTTCTAAGTCTTCAAAGCAAAGTTCTTAAATATAAATAATGTGTTGCTTTATTTATTTTGGCTCTCTATATATTAGCATGTATGTGTACTTCCTAATATTTCCTTTGCCTTGTATGTCAGATAAAACCTACTTTGCAGAGAAGCTAGAGTTCCTAAAATAATCTGCTAAACTTATAGACAAAGTACATATTTTCTCTAGTGCCTCCTCAAGAACTTAGGATAAGTCACTAAGCTAATTTCCATAAACAGTGATAATAGGTCAGCTATCGAAAAGATCAAAAACAGGCTGGGCATGGTGACTCATGCCTATAATCGCAGCACTCTGGGAGGCCAAGGTGGGCAGATCACCTGAGGTCAGGATTTCGAGACCAACCTGGCCAATGTGGGGAAACCCCATCTCTATTAAAAATACAAAAATTAGCCTGGCATCGTGGCATGCACCTGTAGCCCCAGCTACTTGGGAGGCTGAGGAAGGAGAATTGCTTGAACTTGGGAGATGGAGGTTGCCGTGAACCAAGATTATGCCATCGCACTCCAGCCCGGGTGACAGAGCGAGACTCCATCTTCAAAGGAAAAAAAAGAAAAAGAAAATGTCATAAACAGAGATAATAGCTCAGCTATCGAAAATGTCATCCGACAATTCTTTTTTTTTTTTTTTTTTTTGAGACGGAGTCTCGCTCTGTTGCCCAGGCTGGAGTGCAGTGGAGCGATCTCGGCTCACTGCAAGCTCCGCCTCCCGGGTTCACGCCATTCTCCTGCCTCAGCCTCCCGAGTAGCTGGGACTACAGGCGCCTGCTACCACGCCCGGCTAATTTTTTGTATTTTTAGTAGAGACGGGTTTTCACCGTGTTAGCCAGGATGGTCTCGATCTCCTGACCTCGTGATCCGCCCGCCTCGGCCTCCCAAAGTGCTGGGATTACAGGCGTGAGCCACCGCGCCCGGCCCCAACAATTCTTTAATATGAAATTTGGTGAACCATTTTAACCCCCTGAGCATTGTAAGATGAAACAAATAATGATATTTTAGTTAACGGCTATTATGATAAACAAAACATAACAATTCTTTTTAAATCTTGAACTTCAGCTATAATATTTATTTTGTGGATGGAGCCACCCAAGCTTAAAACTATAGTCTATTTTTTTAGAAGAATGTTTACAAGACTATATTTTCCCTTGTATAACATTTAAAAGGCAATGAAATCTCAATTGCCCCAATAAGAGTGAGAAACAATGAGATCAGTGATCTTTACCAGAAGACATGTGTTCATATATTTCATCAGGATGCATTTTTCATATATGAAACCAGTATTTCACTTAACTAGAGATTTTGTGATTACAGTGTTGTAAGATGACTTATTACTTGAAATTTATACTGAGGCATTATGTGTAATACATAGGTGTAATTTCCTTGTTAGAAATCTGCAGTTTGGGTTGCATTTTATGTACATGAAATACTAAGACGATAAGTGTCCTCCAGTAGAGGGAAGTATATCTTAACCTTGACTGCAATTAGAATCAGAGTTGAGTTTATTTGTTTTCAGTATTGATGCATAGGCCACCCCCACCCCACCACCAAATGATTCTGATTCAGCTGAGCTGGGGTGAGCTTGGACACTGGATTTCCTCCCAGGGTTGAAAAGCACTGCTCAAATTTACCATGGAACATAGCATTTAGATTTGCCCTTATAATGTAGACATTCAATCTCAAGTCTCAAATATTTGTTAGATTCCCAAAGTCTGATTATCAAGTATTTAAAGTTTGAATTGATAGGATAACAATGTTGCAGTCTCAGATGAACTACTACAAATTATTCATGATCATGCAGTGTTATTATGTAATCTACTTTGACTATTTTTCTCAACTTAATCCTTTATCTTGAACATTGAAGTGAGTTTTCAGATGGAAATTAATCCACAGAAGATATATCCAGGCACAAAAAAAGTCATCCTTTAAAAGGTGTCCAATTAATCTGCACAGTAACATGGAGAATATGATTTGGTTCTAGAAATTGATACGATATAGTAACGGGAAACCCACCATTTGCTATGTTTAAAGAACCTGTTTCTCAAGGGGAAAATATCATCTAGAAGTTACTCGATGTATGTTATATAGATTTCAGGAAGAAAAAATTTTATTCATGTTCAATTGTGAGATTTTAGTTTGATCAAATAGGTTCAAAATAAAAAGTTGATTTATCATTGAAGAAGGTTTCAGATGATTAGCACAGCTCTGAACTCAATTCTCATCTCAAATCCTGTTCCAAAACCAAATGTATTATTTCCTCTTCTTTTCTAAATGTCAAGAATAGACAAATTAGTGAAACACATGGAACAAGAAATACTTAATTCATAACTTTAAACAAATATGTAGGCTGTTGTCTCATTCCTTTTTCTCTTAGATCCACTTAACCAGACAACTTGACAACTGTCTTGATTAATAACGCACATATCACTCAGGACAAATTTGTGGGCTTAAAAAGTGTTCTTGTCATAGGGAAATTTATCCCTGGTCTTCAAACTGTATGTTCACTCATATTTTATGATTTTGTTTGCAAAAGCTGTGGTTGCTAAAATCGATGAGCTGCACTGGTACACACAGCATGAGCATCCTATTTCTCCAACCAAAAATCTATCATATTATGAGCAGAAACAAAGTGAAGTGTTGGGTATATGAACACACAGGGCCTTTTATACTCAGTTCTGGAAAAAAAAGAGGAGATGTGGAGGAACTAACAAAAAATACCCTCTGGACAGTGCCTATAGAGGCGGAGAACTTCCTGACTCTCAAAATTTCCAGATGTGTTTTAACAGTCCTTCTAGTTAGTCAGAGACTAAAGGAATGGAAAAAGGCGGAAGACAGAATGCTGAGACCTAATGCAGCCTTCACTTTCCCAGAGAATATGAATGTCGTCATTGGCCATGCCTCTCAAATTTTACTATGCATGTGAATCACTCAGGTATCTTTTTGAAATGCAGAATTGTTTCAATAGGTATAAAATGAGACCTGAGATTTTCTATTTCTAACAGGTGATGCTGAGGTTGCTGGGCCAATTATTCAAAGCACAGCTGCTGAATATACTCTCGGTGTGAGTTCAGTTCTTTAACTCACTTTGGAACCATTCCCTTTTATAAGACCAGTGGTCAAATGAAACAATAGAGAACACTGGAGAGTTATGAGTTGATTGTGTATTCACTTGTCCTATGAGTAGGTGCATAAGAATGAACCAGACATCCTTAATTAAGCACTTCATTGCCTCTAATTAGAGAAGAAAAAGCATTCCCTTCAAATCTCACTACCCTGTTCTACCTAGTACATGCAGGCCTTTTGACATTAAAATATTATATTTCAATTAGAAATTTCAAATAATCTAATGAGCTGGTGACAAAACTACTTTCAGCTATTGGAAGAGCAGTGATCAAGAGAGATGAATTAAGATTTTGCCCACGTGTAAAGAAATGGAGTCAGTGGCAATAATAGGTTCTGTCACTAGTGGAGCAAACTAACTGCTTTTAAAAAATTAACCCCGAACTTTATTCTCATGTTATTATTAATGGAATTGAGAAAAGAAGTACTCCATGTACTATTTATAATACTAATAGAAAAATCAAATAATTGTTTAAAGTCTTCATTCTCCATATTTTTAATTTTCTGCTTTTATTTTTTGGAAACTATTGAATTTGAGAAAGAGATTGTCATAAAATCTAATTAGGAACAATAATTATGGAATGCTTAATGTGATCAAGCAGGCAATATTTTAGGTATTAATTTAATGAATCCCTGTGAGGTTTGCACAATTACTTTTATTTTTATTTTAAGGGTAAGGAAACTGAAAATTTGAGCAACTGATCATGCTTTCCACAGCTGGTAAGCGTCAGAGACAGAGCTTGAAACTGTGCATTCTGACTGCAGTGCCCACGCAGGTAACCACTTGGTAATTCTGCCTTGTTAGGTATAAAAGTGCAAGGTGTGATTTCAGAGAAACTAGAATGTTACTCAAACACAGCTTCTGCCCCTAAACCACTCACTAGACACCAAAGCTACAGGTACTTGAATTTATCTTTCTCATTCATTGTCCTTACCGACATTTAGCACAGGTAACCTAAAAGTACTTGCCCACTGCATTCAAAAAAGAAACAACGATCTCCTATAAACTCAACTGTTCATTTCCTCTTTTATAGCCAGGTTACTAAGTCCTGGAGAAAAAAATAAATTGTTTGTCCTGAAGTCATTACATGTTCATTATCTCCAGCCTTAGTTAAATACTCCTTTTTTTTTTTTTTCAGAAGTCCTTCCCTTCAAGCAATTTATACCTTTGCCACTCCCTTCAGCCTTGCCCCTCACCTTCTTCTCACTCTCAGAAAATGTCCTTGGCTCTTATTTCCCAATGACTATTGAGTCCATTAGATGTTAAGTCATTTAAACCCTCTCATTCTCACAAACATCCCCATATACTTCCATTCAGCCATCTTTTCTCGGCTTTATTTTAGTTTCCTTGGAAATAATGCCCCTCTTGTCATTCAAAATTTATGACCCTCGGCTGTGGATGACACCCATTGCCCTCCTCCAGGCTGTCTTTAGCAGTCAGTCTCTTTGCACTGCAGCTTCTCTTGCTTCCATGTGCAAAACTTTCCCAACATTAAAAGGAAAACAAAAAAAGCAAGAAGAAACTAAACTATATTCACTTTTTTGCTATTTTTAGCTAGTGATCTCTTTCACCTCTTACCCCTTCAGAATTATTTTAAAGAAGAATATAGACTTAAGCTGGGTTCAGTGACTCACGCATGTGATCCTAGCACTTTGGGAAGCTGAGGAGGGCAGATCAATTGAGGTCAGTTTGAGACCAGCCTGGCAATCATGATGAAACCCTGTCTCTACAAAAAATGAAAAAATAATTAGCCAGGCGTGGTGGTGGACTCCTGTAATCCTAGCTATTCAGGAGGCTGAAGCATGGGAATTGCTTGAACCCAGGAGGCGGAGGTTGCAGTGAGCAGAGACTGTGCCACTGCACTCCAGCCTGGGGGACAGAGCAATACTCTATCTCAAAAAAAAAAAAAAAAAATTATATATATATATATATTTTTTCATGCGCGTCCATGTGAAGAGACCACCAAACAGGCTTTGTGTGAGCAATAAAAGCTGTTTATTTCACCTGGGTGCAGGTGGGCTAAGTCCGAAAAGAGAGTCAGCGAAGGGAGATAGGGGTGGGGCCATTTTATAGGATTTGGGAAGGTAATGGAAAATTACAGTCAAAGGGGGTTGTTCTCTGGTGGGCAGGGGTGGATCTCACAAAGTACATTCTCAAGGGTGGGGAGAATTACAAAGAACCTTCTTAAGGGTGGGGGAGATTACAAAGTACATTGATCAGTTAGGGTGGGGCAGGAACAAATCACAATGGTGGAATGTCATCAGTTAAGGCTGTTTTTACTTCTTTTGTGGATCTTCAGTTACTTTAGGCCATCTGGATGTATACGTGCAATTCACAGGGGATGCGATGGCCTGGCCTGGGCTCAGAGGCCTGACATTCCTGCCTTCTTATATTAATAAGACAAATAAAACAAAATAATAGTGTTGAAGTGTTGGGGCAGCGAAAATTTTTGGGGGCTAGTATGGAGAGAGAATGGGCGATGTTTCTCAGGGCTGCTTCAAGCGGGATTAGGGGCGGCGTGGGAACCTAGAGTGTGAGAGATTAAGCTGAAGGGAGGTCTTGTGGTAAGAGGTGATATTGTGGGGATGTAAGAAGAAACATTTGTCGTATAGAATGATTGGTGATGGCCTGGATACGGTTTTAGATGAATAGAGAAACTAAATGGAATAAGAGAAGGAGAAAAACAGGTATAAAAGGTCTAAGAATTGGGAGGACCTAGGACATCTGATTAGAGAGTGCCTAAGGAGATTCACCATAGTCCTGCCAGCAAAGATTATTTATTTACTTCAAGAGCTTAGAGTGGCATTTTGGGGCTAGCACCAGGAGATATCAGCTGTGATGGCTTGGAGAAACAGTGTAAACCGGCAGTGTAAACAAGAGCAGGGCATGTATGAGTAGTTGAGAATGGTGAATAGGAGTATGACTAGACAAAAGATAGTAGGGATGACAAGTTTTTTTGGGGCACAGTCTAAGTTGGTCTGGTGTCCAATGAGACTGGGGCCTAATAAAAAGGAACATCTATACAGGAGCTTAAATGGGCTGTACCTTGTAGCATTCTGAGGACAGGCCTGAATTCTGAGAAGCAAAAGTGGTAAAAGTATTGTCCAGTCCTTTTTAAGTTGGTGGCTGAGCTTGGTGAGGTGTGTTTTTAAAAGACCTTTAGTCCGTTCTACTTTTCTTGAAGACGGAGGACGGTAAGGGATATAAAGGTTTCACTGAAACCTACTAAGAGCCTGAAAAACTGCTTGGCTGATTTGACTAATAAAGGCTGGTCTGTTATCAGACTGTATAGAGGTGGGAAGGCTAAACTGAGGAATTATGTCTGACAGAAGGAAAGAAATGACTGTGGTGGCCTTCTTAGACCCTGTAGGAAAGGCCTTTACTTATTCAGTGAAAGTGTCTATTCGGACTAAGAGGTATTTTAGTTTCCTGACTCGGGCATGTTGAGTAAAGCTAATTTGCCCGTCCTGGGTGGGGGCAAATCCTCGAGCTTGGTGTGTAGGAAAGGGAGGGGGCCTGAATAATCCCTGAGGAGTAGTAGAATAGCAGATGGAACACAGAGAAGTTATTTCCTTGAGGACAGATTTCCACGATGGAAAGGAAATGAGAGGTTCTGAGAGGCGGGCTAGTGGCTTGTACTATAGCATAGCCTGTCTTTGCTGGTATGTGGCGATTAGGCCTGGTGGAACTGCCATCAATAAATCAAGCGTGATCAGGGTGAGGAACAGTAAAGAAGGAAATATGGGAAATGGGATGAATATCAGGTAGATCAGAGAGATACAGTCATGGGGGTCAGGTGTGGTATCAGGAATAATGTGGGAGGCCAGATTGAAGTCCGGGCCAGGAACAATGGTAATTGTGGGACTTAAAGAGTGAGTACAGCTGAAGGAGCCGGGGAGCAGAAAGTATATGCGTCAGGTTTGAGGAAGAAAATAGATTTTGGAAGTTATGAGAAATGTAGAGAGTGAGTTGAGCATAGTTTTTGATTTTGAGGGCCTCTAAAAGTATTAAAGCAGTGGCAGCCGCTGCACGCAGACATGAGTGCTAGGCTAAAACAGTAAGGTCAAGTTTGGACAGAAAGGCTACAGGGTGCGGTCCTGGCGCTTGTGTAAGAATTCTGACCACACTAACCATGCCTAGGAAGGAAAGGAGTTGTTGTTTTGTAAGGGATTGAGGTTTGGGAGATTAATTGGACACGATCAGCAGGGAAAGCACGTGTGTTTTTATGAGAATTATGCTGAGATAGGTAACAGATGAGGATGAAATTTGGGCTTGACTGAAGTAATGGGGACTGTCTGTGAAGCCTTGCGGCAGTACAGCCCAGGTGATTTGCTGAGCCTAATGGGTGTCAGGGTCAGTCTAAGCGAAAGCAAAGAGAGGCTGGGATGAAGAGTGCAAAGGAATAGTAAGGAAAGCATGTTTGAGATCCAGAACAGAATAATGGGTAGTAGAGGGAGGTATTGAGGATAGGAGAGTATATGGGTTTGGCACCACGGGGTGGATAGGCAAAACAATTTGGTTGATAAGGCACAGATTCTGAACTAACTTGTAAGCCTTGTCTGTTTTTAGGACAGGTAAAATGGGGGAATGGTAAGGAGAGTTTATAGGTTTTAGAAGCCCATGCTGTAGCAGGCGAGTGATAACAGGCTTTAATCCTTTTAAAGCGTGCTGTGGGATGGGATCTTGACATTGAGCGGGGTAAGGGTGATTAGGTTTTAATGAGATGGTAAGGGATGCATGATCGGTCGCCAAGGAGGGAGTAGAGGTATCTTATACTTGTGGGTTAAGGTTGGGAGATATAAGGGGAGGACGCAAAGGAGGCTTTGGATTGGGAAGAAGGGCAGCAATGAGATGTGGCTATAGTCCAGGAATAGTCAGGGAAGCAGATAATTTAGTTAAAGTGTCTCGGCCTAATAAGGGAACTGGGCAGGTGGGGATAACTAAAAGGAGTGCTTAAAAGAGTATTGTCTAAGTTGGACCAGAGTTGGGGAGTTTTAAGAGGTTTAGAAGCCTGGCTGTCAATACCCACAACAGTTATGGAGGCAAGGGAAACAGGCCCTTGAAAAGAAGGTAATGTGGAGTGGGTAGCCTCCATATTGATTAAGAAGGGGATGGACTTACCTTCCACTGTGAGAGTTACCCAAAGCTCGGCGTCCGTGATGGTCTACGGGGCTTCGGAGGCAATCGGGCAGCATCAGTCTTCAGCCGCTAAACTGAGAAGGAGTCAGTCAGAGAGCCTTGGGCCAGAGTTCCAGGGGCTCTGGGAGTGGCTGCCAGGTGAGTTGAACAGTCCAATTTCCAGTGGGGTCCCACACAGATGGGACACGGCTTAGGAGGAATCCTGGGCTGCAGGCATTCCTTGGCCTGGTGGTCAGATTTCTGGCATTTGTAGCAAGCTCCTGGGGGAGGAGGTTCTGGAGGAACGCCTGGCCACTGCGGTTCAGGCATTTGGAAGTTCTTGTGTGTTGGAGATGTGGCTGGGGTTTGTCTCACAGTGGAGGCAAGGAATTGCAACTTTTTTCTATTATTGTACACCTTGAAGGCAAGGTTAATTAAATCCTGTTGTGGGGTTTGAGGGCCAGAATTTAATTTTTGGAGTTTTATTTAATGTCGGGAGCAGATTGGGTAATAAAATGTATATTGAGAATAAGATGGCCTTTTGACCTTTTAGGGTCTAGGGCTGTAAAGCTTCTCAGGGTTGCTGCCAAACGAGCCATGAATTGGGCTGGGTTTTTATATTTGATGAAAAAGCCTAAACGCTATCTGATTTGGGATAAAGAAAAAGGAGCATTAACCTTGACTATGCCTTTAGCTCCAGCCACCTTTTTAAGAATAAATTGCTGGGCAGGAGGGGGAGGACTAGTCACAGAACAAAACTGTAAGCCAGACCAGGTGTGAGGAGGGGAGGCAATAAAAAGATTACAGGGTGGAGGAGTGGAGGCTGAGGAAGAATTGGGACCTAGCTTGGGCTGGCAAGGAGGGGAGAGGTCAGATGGGTCTGTAGAAAAGGAAGATTAGAAAGACTCAGCTACGCTTGGGGTTGGGACTGAGGGGACAGGCGGTAGGGAAAGAAGGAAGATTTGGGACGAGTTGCACTGGGCACAGAGACTAGGAAGGGACTGATGTATAAAAGAATGCCTGGACGTCAGGCACCTCAGACTATTTGCCCATTTTATGACAAGAATTATTTATATCTTGTAGGATGGAAAAATTGAAAGTGCCGTGTTCGGGCTATTTGGAACTACTGTTGAGTTTGTATTGGGGTCAAGGAGCATTGTAGAAGAAAATAAGGCATTTAGGTTTTAGGTCAGGTGTGAGTTGAAGAGGTTTTAAGTTTTTGAGAACACAGGCTAAGGGAGAAGGAGGAATGGAAGGTGGAAGCTTACCCACAGTGAAGGAGGCAAGCCCAGAGAAAAGAGTAGAGACACGGAGAAGGGGTTGGGGGTTCTTGACCTCCAGAAAAGCAGAGAAGGGGTTGGGGCACGGAAATAAGAGGTCAGGGTGTGGGAATAAGGGAGTGGGGGGTTCTTGCCCCCTAGCAAAGCAGGACTTGCCGCTAAGGGTGAAGGAGAAGGGGTTAAGGGGTACTTGCCCCTGCCCCAGGAAAGCGGGACTTGCCACTAAGGGTGAAGGAGAAGGGGTTGAGGGGTACTTGCCCCTGCCCCAGGAAAGCGGGACTTGCCGCTAAGGGTGATGGACCAAGGCAGGCATCCCTGTATGGTCTGACACCCTTGAAACGTGGGTGTATAATCAGAGAGGCGTCCCTGCAATGATTAAACACCAAGGGAAGGCTGCCTTCCCAGTCCGTGACCAGCGCCGGAGTTTTGGGTCCACGGATAAAACATGTCTCTTTTGTCTCTACCAGAAAATGAAAGGAATTGAAATTAAGAGAAGGGAGAGATTGAAGTGTAGTGCCAAGATTGAAAGGAGAAAGAGGTTGAGGGATAGTGAGGGAGGTTGGAGAAGAGACTAAAAAGAGGCCGCTTACCGGATTTGAAATTGGTGAGATGTTTCTTGGGCTGGTCAGTCTGAGGACCTGAGGTCGTAGGTGGATCTTTCTCATGGAGCAAAGAGCAGGAGGACAGGGGATTGATCTCCCAAGGGAGGTCCCCCGATCCGAGTCACGGCACCAAATTTCATGCACGTCCCTGTGAAGAGACCACCAAACAGGCTTTGTGTGAGCAATAAAGCTGTTTATTTCACCTGGGTGCAGGTGGGCTGAGTCTGAAAAGAGAGTCAGCAAAGGGAGATGGGGTGGGGCCATTTTATAGGATTTGGGAAGGTGATGGAAAATTACAGTCAAAGGGGGTTGTTCTCTGGTGGGCAGGGGTAGATCTCACAAAGTACATTCTCAAGGGTGGGGAGAATTACAAAGAATCTTCTTGAGGGTGGAGGAGACTACAAAGTACCTTCTTAAGGGTAGGGGAGATTACAAAGTACATTGATCAGTTAGGGTGGGGCAGGAACAAATCACAATGGTGGAATGTCACCAGTTAAGGCTGTTTTTACTTCTTTTGTGGATCTTCAGTTACTTTAGGCCATCTGGATGTATACGTGCAATTCACAGGGGATGCGATGGCCTGGCCTGGGCTCAGAGGCCTGACATATATATATATATTATATATTATATTATATAGATACATAGGTATATTATAGATATAATAGATATATTATAGAAATTATATATTATAATATAGAGGTTGAGGGATAGTGAGGGAGGTTGGAGAAGAGACTAAAAAGAGGCCGCTTACCGGATTTGAAATTGGTGAGATGTTTCTTGGGCTGGTCAGTCTGAGGACCTGAGGTCGTAGGTGGATCTTTCTCATGGAGCAAAGAGCAGGAGGACAGGGGATTGATCTCCCAAGGGAGGTCCCCCGATCCGAGTCACGGCACCAAATTTCATGCACGTCCCTGTGAAGAGACCACCAAACAGGCTTTGTGTGAGCAATAAAGCTGTTTATTTCACCTGGGTGCAGGTGGGCTGAGTCTGAAAAGAGAGTCAGCAAAGGGAGATGGGGTGGGGCCATTTTATAGGATTTGGGAAGGTGATGGAAAATTACAGTCAAAGGGGGTTGTTCTCTGGTGGGCAGGGGTAGATCTCACAAAGTACATTCTCAAGGGTGGGGAGAATTACAAAGAATCTTCTTGAGGGTGGAGGAGACTACAAAGTACCTTCTTAAGGGTAGGGGAGATTACAAAGTACATTGATCAGTTAGGGTGGGGCAGGAACAAATCACAATGGTGGAATGTCACCAGTTAAGGCTGTTTTTACTTCTTTTGTGGATCTTCAGTTACTTTAGGCCATCTGGATGTATACGTGCAATTCACAGGGGATGCGATGGCCTGGCCTGGGCTCAGAGGCCTGACATATATATATATATTATATATTATATTATATAGATACATAGGTATATTATAGATATAATAGATATATTATAGAAATTATATATTATAATATATATAATATCTATAATATATATATTATAGAAATTATATATTATAATATATATAATATCTATAATATATATATTATAGATTAAATATCTGTATCTATTATATCTATATCTATAATATATCTATTATATCTATAATATCCATAATATATCTATTATATCCATAATATATCTATTATATCTATAATATCCATAATATATCTATTATATCTATAATATCCATAATATATCTATTATATCTATAATATCCATAATATATCTATTATATCTATAATATCCATAATATATCTATTATATCTATAATATCCATAATATATCTATTATATCTATAATATCCATAATATATCTATTATATCTATAATATCCATAATATATCTATTATATCTATAATATCCATAATATATCTATTATATCTATAATATCTATAATATATCTATTATATCTATAATATCTATAATATATCTATAATATCTATAATATATTATATCTATAATATCTATAATATATTATATCTATAATATCTATAATATATTTATAATATCTATAATATCTATAATATATTATATCTATAATATCTATAATATATTATATCTATATCTATAATATATCTATTATATCTATAATATCTATAATATATCTACTATATCTATAATATCTATAATATATCTACTATATCTATAACATCTATAATATATCTACTATATCTATAATATCTATAATATATCTACTATATCTATAATATCTATAATATATCTACTATATCTATAATATCTATATCTACTATATCTATAATATCTATAATATATCTACTATATCTATAATATCTATAATATATCTACTATATCTGTAATATCTATAATATATCTACTATATCTGTAATATCTATAATATATCTATTATATCTGTAATATCTATAATATATCTATTATATCTGTAATATCTATAATATATCTTATATCTATAATATATATTATATCTATAATATCTATAATATATATTATATCTATAATATCTATAATATATATTATATCTATAATATCTATATCTATAATATCTATAATATATATTATATCTATAATATATATAATATCTATAATATCTATATCTATAATATCTATAATATATATTATATCTATAATATATATTATATCTATAATATCTATAATATATATTATATCTATAATATCTATAATATATATTATATCTATAATATCTATAATATATATTATATCTATAATATCTATAATATCTATTATATCTATATCTATAATATCTATAATATATATTATATATATTATATCTATAATATCTAATATCTATAATATATATTTATAATATCTATAATATATATTATATCTATAATATATATTATATAATATATATATATTTGCTACCTCTCTTTACATCGTTATCTGTTGTTCTCTGTTTGGTCTTTGTATTTGTTGATTTTACATTCTTCTAAATCACCAATGACATCATATTGAAGTTTAATGGACACTTGTCATTTTTTGTTTCCATTCATTTGTTCAGTTTTTGACATGATTACTTCCTTTTATTTAAAATTCTCTCTGTCATTATTTTCTAGGATAAAACTACCTTTTTTTCTTGTTAACATTGCAAAGTGGTGAAACTGGGAAACTAAAGAGAGATATTTGAGGATATGAAAATGTTATATGTTGTTTTAATATAGCTCTATAGCATATGAACATATATAGGCCAAGCATAATAGACCAGTCATTTTAATTTTGATAACAGACTATTGCTCTGACATCTTCCTCTAAACAGCAGAAAATGATGTAAAATAATATTCTGAATTTCCTCATCCCTGTAGATGTCACAAACATCGCACCCTGAGAAATGGGTCCTGAGAAAAATAACCAGAAAGAAAAAAGGTTCATCTTAGGCAAAGTAACATCTCTTTGATCATGTGTGACTTTTTGTGTCTGCCATTCACCATCATAATCAAGGTCAGAGAATTTCACAGTGGTGTTCACAGGGTAGCACATAGCACCTCCACATTGAGCTAGCTGAAGTCAAAGGACTTAGCCTGGAAATTAGAAGTGCCTTTCCACAAGTCATTTTTGCAATTCTGAGAAAAATCCAATACGGATTCTTTCCAGAATTGTACATGTACCTGATCTCTCACTTGTAATTTCCAGAAGCCAGTTTGCTGGGTTAAATATCTGTGTCTGGAAGATTTAAATTGTTCATCTAATGTGTTTTTAAGTCTCCCTATTCTTGCTCAATTTACAGGTTTATTAATTTACTGCCTTACCTCTCTCATTTTTAAAATGAGGATAATAATAGTACCTACCTCAAAGGGTTACTGTGGATATTAAATTTGTAAATATATTTTAGGTACTTAATTACTCTTGTCCTTCCTAATTTCTATCAGCTGCTCTTTGGGTCTCAGATTTATATGGAAAGCATCAACTTTCTCCTTCTTCAATTGATTCATTACATTTTCAACTACAAAGAGGCAAATAAACACTTTTCATCTTACAAGTGATGAGAGGCTAGGAATCTTCAGTCACCTCGGGTTTCTCAAGATTTAAAAGCAGATAAGAAAACCGCCTAATAGGTTTGTCATGTGGATTAAATGATAAATTATGTGATGCACAAAGTATACAGAAGTGCTTCAGTATTTAATTATGGTAATTATGATAAGCAGAATCATCCTTAGTGCTATAATTTTATGTTCTACTGTTTACATTAACCACAGTTAGTAGTGGTAGTGACAGGAGTACTACTAACTGTGAGAGTGATTTTTGTATTGCTCTACTGTATCAGATATAAAAAAAAAAAATTCAACTCAGTCTAGTTAGTGCCCTTCCTGGGTACCTGTACTTTATTTTCTTTTTGATTATTCCAGACATTCTTTTTCAGATGCTATCTCAAATTATTAATCTTCACCTCTCTGCTACCACTCAGGCAGTTATTTCACAAAATTCAAAGAAAGCATTCAACCACCTTCAAGATACAATGCTGGTATTTGTTTTTTCATATATAGAATCACAATAAATTTCTGTGGATATAAACCTTTCAGCCTTTTGGTATGTTTAATGCTTAGAAAAATATTGCCTTGTAGACATTCTAGACTTTCTTCCATTATCTTGATGAATTTGTTATTTCCTCTCTATCACTCTGGCAGATGGAGCAGAAGAGTGTGTGTGTGTCTGTGTGTGTGTGTGTATTCAGAGGAGACAAATAGATTTTTATGGGATAAATATTCAATATTACAGACAAGGAAAAGAAGAAATAGATTAACACCAATTAAGATCAGTTTTTTTTTTTTAACAAAAAGAGTAGTTATCACCTTAATTCAATCATAGTAATAGTCATACAGTGACAACTGCTAGTAGCAAATTGAAAGGTACAATAACAATATCCTTGGAGGTATTTCAGATAACCTATAAACTCCAAATGAAAAAGCTGATAGAAAGGAGTATTAGATAAATACATTTATTTTTTCTGAGAAGCATAGCTTTCTGCTAAAGTTTATCTGCTCTGGAGCCAAAACCCAGGAAGTATACAAAGCACTCACTATGAGGAAAGGTGACTGAATTATTTACACCAACAGAAAAAGTAAAGTATATGCATTTATAATCCCTACTAACTGTGTACCATTGAATTATGTGAGGTGGAATAAATAATACTCTGACTGATTTTATTCTCTGTATTTTCCAAAGTTATTTCAACATGAATATTCATGACAATGAACATCTATGAAAACAATTAATATTAAACTTCTGTATATATCTAAACTATTACCTCTTTATCCCCACAATATTGGCACACTGTACTATTCAGAAACTATACCAAGGTAACGTTCTGATTTCGCTTTTCAAGTCTGTTCTGGAGGATTTTGATGGTACGGTGTTATAGCCTGTAATTTTGATAGTTATTTTTTCACCAAGTGTATTTGGTAGAGAGATATTTTCCTTCTTTTTAATTATTCTAACTTCTTCATTAATAAAAAAAATTGGAAGCCCAAGGTAATTACCACATTACACTAAAGCTTATACTCAAGCACCAGTACCAGATTCCCAAGGTACATGGATATAATATGTGGCACATAACTCTTGAGATAGTCTTATTGAATATTAGTTTGGTGTTGTTCTTTTCCTCTTCTTTTGGTTTATTTTCTTTGCTACTCCTCCATTTTTGTGGATGTATGTCTTCCTATCAGCATGTTAGAATCGCTAAGCTATAGACTAACTGACACTTGTTTGGTATTTGGTGGGTGGGGAGGCGCTTTTTTTTTTAAACTTTTATTTTAGATTCAGGGAGTACATGTGCAGGTTTATTACCTGAGTCTATTGTATGATGTTGAGGTTTGCTGTATGAATGATCCTATCATCCAGGTAGTGAGGATAGTACCCAAAAGTTAGCTTTTCAACCCTTGGACCCTCCATCTCTCCCACCTTTAGTAGGCCCCAGTGACTACTGTTACCATCCTTATGAGTACCTAATGTTTAGCTCCCATTTATAAGTGAGAATGTGTGGTATTTGGTTTTTTCTGTTCTTGCATTATTAGCTTAGGATAATAACTTCCAGATGCATCCATGTGGCTGCAAAAACCATGATTTAATTCTTTTTTACAGCTGCATGGTGTTCCACGGTGTATATATACCACATTTTCCTTATCCAATCCACTATTGATGGGCACCTAGGTTGAGTCCATGTCTTTGCTATTGTGAATACTGCTGTGATGAGTACATGTGTCCTTTTGGTAAAATGATTCATTTTCTTTTGTATATATATCCAATAACAGGTTTGCTGGGTCAAATGGTAGTTCTGTTTTTAGTTATTTGAGAAATCTCCAAACCACTTTCCACAGTGGCTGAATTAATTTACATTCCCACCAACACTGTATATATGTTCCTTTTCTCCTCATCTTCCCCATCATCTGTTGTTTTTTGACTTTTTAGTAATAGCAATTTTGACTGATGTGAGATATTACCTTGTTGTAATTTTATTTGCATTTTTCTTATGGTTATTGATATAAACTTTTTTTATATGTTTCTTGGCCCTTTGTATGTCTTATTTTGAGAAATGTCCATTTCTTTTGGCCACTTTTTAATGGGGTTGTTTTTCGACTGTTGAATTGCGTAAGCTCCTTATAGAGTCGGGATATTAGACCTTTGTTGAATATATAGTTTGAGAATATTTTCTCCTATCTTGTAAGTTGTCTGTTTACTCTGTTGATAGTTTCTTTTGCTGTGCCAAAGCTATTTAGTTTAATTAGGACTCACTTTTTTTATTTCTATTTTAAGTTCCAGGGTACATGTGCAGGATGTGCAGGTTTGTTACATAGGTAAACATGTGCCATGGTGGTTTGCTGCATCTATCAATCCATCACCTAGGTATTATGCCCAGCATACACTAGCTATTTTTCCTGATTCCTTAATTTTTCTTTTTGTTACAATTTCTCTTGAGGACTTGGTCACAAATTCCTTTGAAAAGGTGATGTCCAGAATGGTGTTTCCTAGGTTTTCTTCTACAATTTTTATAGTTCATGGTCTTATATTTAAATCTTTATTCCCTCTTGAGTTTATTTTTATGTATGGTGAAGGGTAGGAGTTCAGTTTTATTCTTCAGCATTTGGCTAGCCAGCTTGTCCAGCACCATTTTTTCAATAGGGAGTCCTTTTCCCATTGCTCAGTTTTGTGAAATTTGTCAAAGATGGCTGTAGGTTTGTGGCTTTATTTCTGGGTTCTTTATTCTGTTTCATTGGTCTATGTATCTGTTTTTATACCAGTACCATGCTGTTTTGGTTATTGTAGTCTTATAGCATACTTTGAAGTCAGGTAATGCTATGCTTCCAGCTATGTTCTTTTTGCTTGGTATTTTTGCTCTTTGGATTCCATACAAACTTTAGAATAGTTTTTTTCCAGTTCTGAGAAAAATGACATTGGTAGTTTGATAGGAAATGCATTGAATCTGTAGATTGTTTTGGGTAGTATGACCATTTTAACAATACAGATTATTTCAATCCATCAACCTGAAGTGTTTCTTCATTTGTTTTTGTCATCTCTGATTTCTCTCAGCAGTGTTTTGTAGTCCTTCTTGAACAGATCTTTCACCTTCTTGGTTGGACGTATTCCTAGGTATTTTATTTTATTTTTTATTTTATTTCTGTGGCTATTGTGAGATTGTGTTCTTAAATTCAACCTGGATGCTGTTCATGTATAAAAATGCTACTGATTTTTATACATTGATTTTTGTATACTGAAACTTTACGAAAGTCATTTATGAGGACCAGGAAACTTTCGGCAGAGTCTTTAGGGTTTTCTAGGTAGAGAATCATATTACTGGTGAAGACAGGTAATTTGAATTTGTCTTTTCTTATTCAGATGCCTTTTATTTCCTTCACTTACCTGATTGCTCTGGCTAACATTCCCAGTGTTATGTTGAATAGGAGTGGTGAGAGTGGACATCCCTGTTCTGTTTCAGTTCTCAAAGGGAATGCTACCAGTTTTTCCCTGTTTAGTATGATGTTGGCTATGGGTTTTTCACAGACTGCCCTTATTGTTTTGAGGTATGTTCCTTCAAGGGCTTTTATTATGAAGGAAAGTTCGATTTTATTGAAAGCCTTTTCTGCATCTATTGAGATGATCCTGTGTTTTTTGTTTTTAATTCTGTATATGTGGGCAATCACATTTATTGATTTACATATATTGAGCAAACCCTGCATCACAGGAATCAAGCCTACTTGATCATGATAAATTAAATTTTTGATGTGCTGTTGAATTTGATTTGGTAGTGTTGTGTTGAGGATGGTAGTGTTGTGTTGAGGATTTTTGTATCTATGTTCATCTGTAGTTTTCTTTTTTCCTTGTTTCTTTTCCAGATTTTGGTATCAAGGTAATGCTGGCTTCATATAATAAATTAGAGAGAGGTCCCTCCTCCTCAATATTTTGGCATAGTTTCATTAGAATTGATACCAGTTCTTTTTAATCATGTGGTAGAATTTGGTTGTAAATCCTTCTTGTCTGGGGCTCTTTTTGGTTGGTAGGCTTTTTAATACTGATTCAGGTTTGGAACTTGATATTGGTCTCTTCAGTGTTTCAATTTGGTTTCATTGATTCTTTGTATGTATTTTTAGGTCTTAATTGTGTTCACTTTTGATCTGATTTTAGTTATTTATTTTCTTCTGCTAGCTTTCTGGTTAGTTTTGTTCTTATTTTCCTAGTTCCTCTGGGTGTGATGTTAGATTGTTAATTTGATATCTTTTTACATTTAAGAGGTAGGCATTCAGCACTATAAACTTTCCTCTTGACACTCTTTTGTTGCATCCTAGAGAATTTGGTATGTTGTGTCTCTATTTACATTTATTTCAAATAGTTTTTTTTTACTTCTGCCTTAATTTTGTTGTTTACGCAAAAGTCATTCAGGAGCAAGTTGTTTAATTTCCACATATTGTATAGTTTTGAGAGTGCTTCTTGATATTGATTTCTATTTTTATTTCACTGTATTGTGAGATTATAATTGGTACGATTTTGAGTTTCTTGGTTCCATAAGTCAAGTCTGGTTCCTTATAGCAGGCTGCTTATATTTGAAAGCATGTCATTCCAGTCAAAGCCTGGGTAAAAATAACCAGTTTCTTCAATTGTGTCCTGTTGCAAAAGAAAACAGATTCTAATTGCACTTATGCAAATAACTATATTGCCATAAGTTAAGAATGCTCACAACTAGTTTTCAAATTTGGAGAAATCAGAGAGAAATATGCCTCAAATTTCATTTATAGGAGTATACTCAATTGTTAAAAGCTGTAAATAGCTTAAAATAAAAGTGTTCTTGACTTTGAAAAACAAAACAAAGAATCAGTAACATTTTAAACAAAAGTCATAAAAGGAATAATTTAGTCTTCTATTAGTTCAGTCCATGAGGTTTACTGCTGTTCTGCTTGATATACATGAACATTCCAGCTTTCCATGAGAGTTCTGAAAGGTTTTCCTCTATTCTAATGTCACAATCTCCAAAGCTATAAAAGACCTGAATTCAAGAGCACCTGTCAAAGTCCTACAGCTGATTATAACCACCTTTTGAAGAGGCTCAAAACAAGACAACAGTTGTCTGTGGGTGACAAAATTCTCAGGACAGCCATAGTTAAAGCCAAAATTCACTAGGAATCTTGGTTATTTCTGTGGTATACCATCAATTTTACACAATAATTATAATTACTACTAGCAACATATATAGAGACATATCACAATTACAGGAAACATATAATTTTGTAACACATACTAATATTTATATGAACATAATCCAGAGAAAGTTAAACACCATTTTATATCAGACAGTGTTTCCTATATGATTTTAATATATTAAATAAGCTGAATATGTCTTTTTTGCACTTTAGGGGACCTAAATTTTACCTTTTTTTTAATTTAGAATTTGATCTTGGAAGACTTGTCAAATATCAAAGGTTTGAAACACTGGATATCACAAAACAGAACTTCAGGTCACTATCAGTCATTCATTTAGCCAGAATGATTACTCGAATATTTTAAAAATGCAAAATCTCATACTCACTAAGAGAGGAGAGAATCAGCTTTCTAATAAAGACCCAATAAAGACAGCATGAGGTCAAGTGAATCTGTCTTCTCTCTCTCCCCACCCTGTCTTTTATTGTAGTTTACTCAAAAGGCTAATAAAAATGTTTAATTGTCTCTCGATATTACATAAAATTATTTTTCAAAAGAGAAAATCAAATTTCATGTTTGTGTTGGTGCATCTTTAATGTTAAAATTTTATTAAAAACTAGTTTTATCAATCTATCCAGTGTTAATTACCTTGACTGTAAGGTAATATTTTCCTACACTTTTTAGAACCCTTTACAATTTTCCATTAATCAGCAGATCAATTTTCTAAGGAAACCCTGTTATTTGAACACATGGGTCCAGATTCTGGCTAGATGTGGGAAGGTGTGCTGGAAAGTGGGCTGGTGTTTACAGAAAGGGTGAGTGCTGAGGGGATATGGTAGGACAATGAAAGCAGCTGTTACAACTTCTTCCAGAGAAAACATTCTTTTAAAAATGAGACATAAATTAAAGGCAGTTGTGTAAGGAATAATACCATGGTTGCTGAAGACTCATAGACCAGGATTGAAATCCAAACTCTGCCATATCCTGGGAGGCTAATCCTGATAAAAGTATTTAATTTCTCTCAGGTTGGGCTTCATTGTCTGCAAAATGAAACACATGGTATCCATCTCAAAATCTGTAAAGCTTAAATGAATTACCTAAGAAATGCTTAACACAGAATCTAGTATTCAATGTATAGTAAATATTAATGTAATTAAAAGGCAGTTTGGTATTTAAAAATTATATTACCCTTAATGCTTACCATCACTTACCAGAGTTATTTTAAGAATGCAGGGAATCTCATCCAGGTTATCCTTCTGTCACAACTGTTGAACTCGGATTTGAATCCTCTAGTTTCATAGCATGCACAGCCTTTTAAAAAGTCTGTTCACTCTGGTTGGGGGCAGCACTAATGGCTAGCTTATTCTTTTTTATGTTGGAACCTCCCTATAAGTTAAAATAGATAAATGCAGAGGTTCATAGATTCAGAGAGTCTCAGATACACCTCTAACATTTGTGGGACCTGTGTCAAGAGAAGAGATGGCAACATACCCTTTGTCTAAAAGTTAAAATCAAGCTAACATAACTAATACAAAAAATCTTCTATTTTTCTGTTCTGGATAAATACTGAATCATCTTGCTTGTATGTGGTATCCCAAGTATTCAAATACATAGAAGCAGAAAGTAGAATGGTGGTTGCCAAGGAATTGGGGAAGGGGTAATGGGGGGGATTTTCAAGGGTACACAGTTTCAGTTATGCAAGATAAGTTCTGGAGATCTACTGTACACTGTAGAGCATACAGTTAACAAAACTGTATCACACACTTAAATATTTTCTAAAAAGGGTTAATCTTAGGTTAAGTGCTCCTACCACAGAAAGAAAAATGTAATTATTATAATAATAACTAAAAATGGCAGGAAAAAACTTTTAGAAGTGATAAATAAGTCTATAGCATAAATTGTGGTGATGATTTCCTGGGTGTATACTTATCTTCAAACACATCAAGTTGTATACATTGTATATCTATCTATGTATATGTATATCTATCTACAGCCTTTTCTCTGTCAACTATACCTCATTAAAGTGGCTAAAAATATTCTGTGTAGTGGAAATATTGAAATGTATGTATTAAGCTACAATTTCCAGAGAAGGAAAGTTGGTAAAATATAAATTGTAAATAAATATAATTTTATTATGCATGTCTGATTATTTTCTGAGTCAGTGGCATTTGGATGACTAATACATTAAGACTGACATGAGTCACAAATTATGTTTATGCAATCTTAACTTACATTTTTATCAACATTAACAACTATGTTGTTATAATCAGAATAACACATTTTCTTCTGTTGAGAGTAATGCCAAATTAGACAACTTTTAAAAACAAATTATTTTGAAATAATTTGTTGGAATAATGATATATTGCCAGCATTTAAAGAACAAATGTTTTATTGTTTTTAAAAGTCAACTTTTTGAGGTATAATTTCCATATAATGATGTTCACCCTTCTTAAGTGTACAGTTGATGAATTTGACAAATGTTTATAGTCATGCAGTCACCAAAGCAATGCAGTTGTTAGATATTTTCATCATCCAGAAATTCCCTCATGCCTCTTTGTAGATAATCCCTGTCACCACTCTCAGCCTACAACAGCTCTGAGTTATTATAGCTCTAGTTATTTTACTTTTGTAGTTTCAATATAGAAAATTTTAGCCCACTGAGACAATAGCCATTACAATCGTCCATAAAATTCTTAAATTGGCAGTTAGATTAAGGTGTAAACCAAAGAATTGAAATAGTATTGTTCAAATTTTGTGATGAGGTGACAAATATTAAAGTGTCATCACAGAAAATATTACAAAATACTGTAATTTCATTTTATAAATTGCTATCTCAGATTGCAGTTTTCACCATCACTTAAAACAATATCTAGTTTCATAGATTATTGTTTCCATTCTTCTTTCAAATGTTTCAATGGTAACATAGTATTAAAAAAATGGAAATAGCATATGTTGCCAAATTTGTTTTCTTTATATACTTTGATCTATAATTGCCAGTGTTATTCCCTATAGAAATAAGTGTTGAGCTTATATGTTCATGAATCTTATCTTTCATAGTCATAGAAATTGTGTTGATTTTCTTGTTCTAATTATCTTATTTTTATTGGAATAATATTTGTATTCCCTTTTTTCCACATGTTGTATCTATCTTTTTTTCCACATGTTGTATCTATCTTTTTTTCCACATGTTGTATCTATTTAGGAAACAAATTTCTCTAAAATTTTAAAAATACTGTAATCATTTTAATAGTGAAATCATTCAGATCTGTTAGCATTTTTTTGCTAAGCTTTCACTGATATTAAAGGTAAATTAGTTTATACTCAATAATGTGGAAAATATAAATTCACTTTTAGTTTTTGTCTAAGACCACAATTCACCCTCCATTTGAAGATCACCTCTTGTTTTACCTTTTTTAAAACTGCATCTTATTGTATAAAATAAATCAAATTTTTTATTGTGATTATTATCTCTTAGATCCTAAACTGGAACAATAAGAGAAGCGTGGAGGAAACAAATGCATGGTGTGACTGGCAAAACATGCTTCATTACTCAAGAATGTATCGCTTCCTTGCTATTGGAAAGAAGGATTCACAAGTTAATTTTTTTTTTCTTCCTTCATCCAAGTGTTTCCAAAGCTGAAAAGCTCCTTATAGTTCAAAATAGTGCCCTAAAAAAAGTTAGTAGCACAATCCAAACCTTCAGAACTTCCAAAAACAGTTGTTCTTTGTTTTGAAGATATAGAGCAAGAGATGTGGTAAGGAACTTCCTAGAGGCCTGACTCAGTCAGAAGAACAGATGTGTGGTTTATGGGTTGAGCTGTACCGGTGTGTCTGAGTATTCTTTAATACATTTATTTTGTGTGTATTTGAGATATTCAGGGCCTCCAAATTACGTCACTCAGAGCAGGAAAGTCCCTTGAATGGACTGAAAGATGGGTACTGATTGATCTCACCTCTCATCTTTATGACAGTCCTTTAGCTTTGATGATGGCTATTAATATCTTCTACTTTTATAACTGTATGTTACCGGTTTCTTCATGTCTTCTGTTAAACAGCTTGATTTACTCCCTGACCTGGGATTTGAAGTAAATAATAGCCACAAGTCTCCAATTGTTAGCAGACAATTTAAGAGGTCTTTATTTTTTTTTTTTTTTATTTTTTCTTACTTCGCACTTCCTACTTTTCTCTTGGCACTTTCTCAGTTTTCATGTAATTCATCAAAGATTGTTCAAGGAATGTCATCTCTTTACTGTTTTCCTCCATATGACTGGTTGGCAGTGCATCATTGCTAGCATGGTCATCCAGAGGCTTTATCTCTCAGAAGAGGAGAAACTGCATCTGTTCTGTACATGCTGCTCTTGCTGCATGTTGCTAACCCTTCATACTAGAACGCCTTGTTGGACCCTTTTTCTACCTGGTAATTATGCTTAGCCATCTGCAAAAGCCTTTCTGTTCTTAATACAGTTTCTTCTTTGGCCCTGACTACTCACAGTTCTCTTTCTTAATTACAGACAGGAATATTTGGATCTGAATTTTATAGATACAAATATAACTAAATAAAAAATATGTAACAGTTGAATACCATATATTTCATATTTGTGGTAGCACTGTTCACAGTAGCTAAGATTTGGAAGCAACCTACGTGTCCATCAGCAAATGAGTGGATAAAGAAAATGTGGTACATATACACAAGGGAGTATACTATTCAGCCATAAAAAAAGAATGAGATTCTGTCATTTATAACAGCATGGAAGGAACTGGGGATCATTATGTTAAGTGAAATAAGCCAGGCATAGAAAGACAAACACTGTATTTTCTCACTTATTTATGGAATCTAAAAATCAAAACTATTGAACTCATGAACATAGCAAGTAGAAGGATGGTTACCAGAGGCTGGGAAGGGTAGTGGGGGGCTGGTAGGGAGGTGGGGATGGTTAATGGGTACAAAAACATAGTTAGATAAAATGAATAAGACTTACCACTTGATAGCACAACAGGGTGACTATAGTCAATAATAACTTAATTGTACCTTGAAAAATAACTAAAAGAGTATCACTGAATTGTAACACAAAGAATAAATGCTTGAGGTGATTGATAGATACTCAGTCTCCATGTTGTTATTATTTCACATTGCATGGGTTTATCAAAACATCTCATGTACTCTATAAGTATATATACACTTACTCTGTACTCACAAAAATTAAAAGTTAAAAAAATTAAAATAAGTATTTAAATAACATATTTCCTATTTGACATACATGCTATATAGGTCTACCATTCTCACTCTTCTCCTGTCTACAATCTTGAGGTTTTGATATCTGTTCTTTAAAATCTCTTTTCTTTACAATGTATGTCTATTTATGCAATCTCCAAACAAATTAGCTTTATTATTGCTATTAAATTTGTAATAAAAACAGAAGTTTTCATTTTCCTTTCCATACGATTGTTATTACAGAGAGATTGATTCATTGAAGTTTAGGAGTGATTAAAGCAAGAATGTGGAAAGCATGATATAAATGAATTGATACCAAAATCAGAAATGCAGATGGGTAACTAAAGTCCTGTATTGCTTCAAATAAGTGAATGGGATTCCTTCCACCAGAGTCCCAATGGGACACATCTTCAAGGGAGAAAACCATGTCTGTTAATGTGACATGCCAGGTCAATTAAGGAAGAGACAGAAGATAGAGGGGGAGTTTGTCAATGAAGAAGAAAGGAATCCCTAGACTGAATGGAATTTAGATTGAGGAAGCACATTTTTAAAAGGGGGAAGGTAAAGAGAATAGCCGTAGAAGTTTGAGAGAAGACAGCTGTCAATCATGTTTCTTATTTGTAAGCTGGCCAGGATGGCTGACTGAATTTAGGAAACTAGGAGGGAGGTTGAGCATGATAGATACATTAGCAAGAAGGGAATGATTGTGGATCAAACAGTTCTAACCATTTTCACAGTGCCTATGGTGATATGCAAATGTATTGCATAGGCAAGTAGGCAGGGATTAAATTAGATATTCACATGATATTCTAAACTAAGCCATTTTACCTTTTATCAAAAGACTTCATTTAAACTAGACATATCCAGAAATCCTTTTATAATATTGAGATTTATCATGACATCATTTCAAACAGTGAAGAAATTCATGTCGATTTTGCATATTATATTAACTTTTATATCATATTGCCTTAGCTTATCAAAAGGACTTGGTTACATATGAATGGAAGAAATCCAGGTTATTAAAGCCACCAATCCAAATGTAACTCTAATACTGGCTTGTGATCAGTAATACTGCATAAGCCCAAAAAGCACAAGAAGCAGGACTGAGTACTTTGGCCTGAGGACTTTTGGATCATAGGGTATCCCTAGTTTTCCTGCTGGTATGCCAACAAAGAATATATGCTATTACTAACATTTTCTACTGAACATATAGTAATACCACAGGGATGCCTGAATAATCCATATGCAAATCAAAGGGAAGGGCAACCTGACTATTAAAAGTAGACACTGGAGGTCTCTGGGACCTGTTTCCCTTGCCAAGATTGGGAGATCTCCTGTCATGGCTCTGAAGTGTCTTCTAGTCCGATCTTATGTAATTGCACTTATTCTTATTCATCTCACATCTTCAGATGTCTGGTCTGCAGAGTCTGAAATGATGTTGCATAACTCCTTTCTTGTCACATGGCACAAAAACTCATTCTTCAACAAAAGTAAAATGAACTGTTTCTGCTCTGCTCAGAGTAAATGCCAGAAGCTTCATAAAAATCCAGAGATTATCAGCTGATAATAATGCATATGGTGGTAAAGACAGAAATTATTAACACATGACCCAATGCTGGTTTCTTCTATATTTTAAGGGGCAATAGGGACCCATAAAAGTGGGTCGTTAAAAAAAAAGTTATTCAAGCTTCTAGCATGCACATCCAAATACTCACTACAGTATTATTCATCTCATCCTGGACCCCTTTGAGAATTACACCCTCCCTTCTGAGACAAATAACATAAGATCATTTGTAAAAAAGAGTATACAATCTGCTTTCTAAGTCAACTTAAGACTTGAACTCATATTGCCTAAATTGGTGTTTTTTCTTTTTTCTCCTTTTCTCTTACCCAGTAATTTTCAACCACAGGTGATTTAGCCCACCGGGGAATAATTTGCAAACATCTAGAGAGAGTTTGATTGTCATACTCTTAGAGGAGCAGGGTAACAGGTATCTAGTGAGTAGTGGCCAGAGACACTGCTCAGCATCCTACAATGTATATGACACCCCCACCCACCACCACACAGAGACGCAACCAAGAATTACTCAGTCCAAAGTGTCAATAGTGGCCGGGAGCAGTGGTTCACACCTGTAATCCCAGCACTTTGGAAGGCCGAGGTGTGTGGATCACTTGAGGTCAGGAGTTCAAGACCAGCCTGGCAACATGTGAAACCTCATATCTACTAAAAATATTTTTTAAAAATTAGCCAGGTGTGGTGGCTGGCACCTGTAATGCCAGTTACTCAAGAGGCTGAGGCAGGAGAATAGCTTGAACCCAGGAGATGGAAGTTGCAGTGAGCCCACATTGTGCCACTGCACTCCAGCCTGGGTGACAGAGCAAGACTCAGTCTCAAAAACAAAAACAAAAAATAACAAAGTGTCAATAGTGCTTCTGTTGAGAAACCTAAAGCTAGCTCTTTATATTTCTTCTCAGGGAGACCCATACAATTTGTTTTTTAAATGATACAGCTCCTCCTCACTCAATAATCAATGAACACAGCTTGTTGTATTCAGTTATGGTAGTGTATGTATAGTGATTTGACTTGAGACGTAAGCCAGAAGGATGCATGGTAAGACATTAGCTTTTGCATCAAAATCAGACTATTTGATTTAATGAAACAAGAAACTGTTTATCTGATGTGACCCATTAGCTTCATGGAAAGTTGAAACCTGTAACCCCATTTAGTGATTATATATGGTGGGACCTAGTATGAAGTGAGTTTTGGGATGTCTTTCTACTAAATATGAAACTTCTTGAGGAGTTTTAGGATCACTGTAGTCATATCCAGGATAAAGAAATCCTAGAACTAGTATAATGTCAAATATGTCGGAGTATCAAAGCTCTTCCATCACAATCTAGAACTTCGTGAGATTTATTTTTGAGATAAAATCTCTTCTCTGATTAAAATAATGTAAATTTATCTGTGCCAGAGTCTGTTCATCAGTTGTATTTCACCCTACCCCTACTTGTTTATTCCAGGAAAACCATTCTCAAAGGTTTCTTGTTTTTGTTTTTCTTTTTCCTTTATTTTCTGCAGCTGGAAGGCTCTATCCTTTACCTTTTTATCTGTTTACTTTCCAGTCTTAATGACTTCAGCTCAAGTACACCAAATTCTCTAATTTGATACATAGTTATTTCAACATACATGAGATTTCCTTCTTATTAAAGTGTTTTTACAATGGCTATCTACTTTTGAGTAAAGGACAGGATAAGAGCCACTTGGTAGGAGGGATGTTTACATTCGATTGTCACTCATCTTGATGCCCTGTCTCTAATCCTCTTCTGATACTACCCTCAATGAGAAACCCCCTTCCTCAGAAATGACAGCATGTAGCATTGTTTTAAGAACATGTTGTCTTATGTTCTCAACCTTTTTATGTGTATTATTGTCTCTGCAGTCATATATAAATGTCAGAACTTTATCCTATACCCTTTAATAATTTGCATATTGCCTAAGACAATCTATGTCAACTATATATTAACAATAAATACTTAGCTGAAAATTATCTAGTTAGAAAATGAAGTCCTAGTCCAAAGGAAAAAAAGTATCTTGAACTCCTTAGGATGAGATTTCCAAAGTTATCTGTATGCAGTTAAACAGCAAATACTTGGCTTATGTTAATAATAGAGCTTTATAGTCTGACCCATGATAAGAGGATGCCTGTGAACAGAAACATTTTAGGTTTGATTGCATTAATATTTTATTGGAAGCAGCCAAGCAAATTATAGATTGATTGTAAACAGCACACAATCAGTGGCTATAGAGAATTCCAATATCCAACAAGACTTTAGCTTCTTTAAGAAGCAGTAGCAAATTTTCAGAAAAATAATTCAAGCTTTAATTTCCTAATTTAAATGGTATCACTCACTTAAGCAGTTTAGCTGATTATTATTATAAAAACTTGCCACGTACTTAGCAGCAACTTGCACATTCTCCTGTGGTCTAACAGTTACAATGATTGCTAATAGTTTCATGATGTAATTTTTTCAATTAAGATTTTTAATATACAAAACACTGACACTGAGATTAAGCATTTTATTTCAGGGGTAAAGCTTTCTCCTTTTCTATCAATATATCAGGTGGCAAAACAGTTATTCATGCTATTGCTTTACTATGCTTTCAAATATATTTGCTACTTGAATTAGGCCATCTTAAATTAATACATGCTAATTTCTTTTGTATCCAAAATGCTACCTCTTTGTGGAATGACAGTGGGTTGCTTAAAGCTCTGAGGCACTGTAGTCCTTGCTTTTACAAGAATATAATGATTATGTCTAATTTTACCCAGCTTAGAAAGCCAGGAGATCAAGGTGAAGATAGGGTGCTTTCAGCTCAGTTCATATCAATATTTACTGAGTGCCTTCTATATGCCAGGGATACTGCAAAGAAGGGGGAAATAAAAGATGAATGTGATGCTGCTGTTCTCAAGGAGATCAGAGTCTAGAGCTGAAAAGAAGAATCAGCTGGAGTAGACATTAAGATAAGAATTTATCAGCAGGCAAGCAGGGACTAGGGTTGTTTAAATGAGAGGCAAAGTAACTTTTTAAATTGAAGCAAAGTTAATTTTTTTCTTCACTGAAAGTCAACCATTCCAGAAAAGTGCAGCTTATTTTTTAGTCATTAAATTCTTATTCATTATTAAGGGCATTAATGGCTACCAAGAACCACCACAAACATTATTGTTATTGGTGTTCTTCCCGCCTTCAATATGCTGCAGCGTTTAAACATAAAATAGATTATTATTTCCCTTTTGTCTCTCTCACTTCATACCCTATATTATATATTATATTATGTATCATACTATATATCATTTAATAATATATATTATATATTATCATATATAATTATATATATTTTTTATGGATACAAAATAGTTGTACATATTTATAGGGTTTATGTGCTATTTTCATACAAGCATACAATATGTAATAATCAAATGAGGAAAATTGTGGCTGGGCACTGTGGCTCACACCTGTAATCCCAACATTTTGAGAGGCTGAGGTGGGTGGATCACTGGAGGTCAGGTGTTAATGTGCAGCCTGGCCAACATGGTGAAACCCTGTCTCTAATAAAAATACAAAAATTAGCTGAGCGTGGTGGCATGTACCTGTAATCTCAGCTACTCAGGAGGCTGAGGCAGGAGAATCTCTTGAACCCAGGAGATGGAGGTTGCAGTGAGCAAAGATCGTGCTACTGCTGTACACTTTCCAGCCTGGGTGATAGAGCAAGACTCTGCCTCAAAAAAAAAAAAAAAAAAAAAAAGAGCAAAATGGAGATATTCTTCACCTCCAACATTTATTATTTCTTTGTGTTGAAAACATTCCAAATCCAATCTTCTAGTTATATTGAAATATACAATAAATTATTGTTGATTATGGGAACGCTATTGTGCTACCAAACACTGGACTTTATTCCTTCTATCTATCTATATTTTTGTACCCATTAGTCAATCTCTTTTTCTTCCCCTGTATCTCTCTTTCTCCGTCTACATTTCCCAGCCTCTGGTAACAATCATTCTACTCTCTACTGCCATGAGATCAATACTCTAGCTCCCACATATAAGTGAGAACATGAACATGAGATACTTATCTTGCAATGCTTGGCTTATTCTCCTTAACATAATATCCTGCAGTTCTATCCACGTTGTTGCAAATATCAGGATATCATCCTTTTTCATGGCTGAATAATATGTCACTGTCTATATGTAACACATTGTCTTTATCCATTCATCTATCAATGGACACTTAACGTTGAATCTGTGTCTTGGCTAATGTGCATAGTACTGCAGTAGACATGGGAGTGCAGATACCTCTTCAATATACTGAAGTCCTTTTGTTTTGGGATAAATATCCAGCTGTGGGATTGCTGGATCACATGCTAGTTCTATTTTTAGTTTTTTGAGGAACTTGCCCACTATCTTTTGCAGTGGACGTACTAACTTACATTCCCACTGACAGCTTATTAGCTTTCCCCTTTCTCCACATCCTCACAAATATTTATTATTCCCTGTCTTTTTGATAAAAGCCATTCTAACTAGGGTAAGATAACTTATGTGGTTTTGATTTGCATTTCTCTGATGGTTATTGATATTGAGCATTTTTTTATATATCTGTTGGCCATTTGTATGTATTCAAGAAATGTCTATTCAGATTTTTGCCCATTTCTTACTTGGATCATTTATTATTATTATTATTATTATAATATTATTTTGCTATTGTGTTGTTTGAGTTTCTTATATATCCTGGTTATTAATCACTTGTCAGTTGAATAGTTTGCAAATATTTTATCCAATTCTGTAACTTGTCTCTTCACTTTCTTGATTGTTACCTTTGTTGTGCAGATGCTTTTAACTTGATGTGATGCCATGTGTCCATTTTTACTTTATTTGCCTGTGCTTTTGACAGCTTCCTCAAGAAATCTTTTTCCAGATCAATGTCCTGAAGCATTTCCCAATGTTTTCTTGTAGGAGTTTCATAGTTTCAGGTCTTACATTTAAGGTTTTAATATATTTTGATTTAATTTTTTTATATGGTGAGAGATAAAAGTTTAGTTTCATTCTTCTGCTTATGGATATCCTGTTTCCCCAGCACTATTGTTGAAGAGACTGTCCTTTCCCAAATGTATCTTCCTGATGCTGTTGTCAACAGGTATCTTCCAGTAATTTCCCATGCTTGAAAATTAGGAATTTTATGCAAATATTTTTAAAAATTTCTTAAGGAATCCTCTAGATTCTTCTAGATTAGTGGTTCTTAATCTTTATAGCTCTTGGAGAGCTTTAAGGTGCCTAGGCCACAATCCAGATTAGTTAAAGTGTCAGTACTTTAAAAAGCTCCATTGATGTCAAGGACTCTTCTAGGGTGAAAACAAGATCAATCATGCTGATGGATATTCTGGCTTTGGGAGTGCAAGAACCACTGACATTGAGGAATGTGCAAAGAAAAATATCATCCCCGCATGGAAATTGAATGGTGGTTGCTCCATGTGGTTTCTAGACCCCAAGCATCTTACAGTATTGTAGGAAGCAGATAACTCTAAGAGGCCAGGTGTCAAACACAATTGCCTAGAAGTAGCTTTGTAAGTAGCTAACTCGCTAACAAGCAGAGAGAACTGGTGAGTTTGAAGATAGTGACAGAAAGGGCAGCCACTGTTGCTCATGATTAAAAAGCCACATTATTGAGTACTGACTTTTAGGATTAATTCACAGAGTAATAATGGGTCAGGACCAAATGCAAAGGCTTTTGACTTTTTCAAAAGATTTGAAAGTTGCCATTAGCCTATAGGGGAACAGGGGCTATTATTACCCTGTTGATAAATGTAGTTAATAGATCCTGAGAACACACAAGCAACTCATCCAAAATTACACACACAGTAAAAAGACAGCACTGGAACGAATTTACTCAATCTTAGTCCTCCTCCATGTCTATTACGTTATTCTGACAGTGAAGAAATTGATATATTTAATTTTACTGTGTTGGAGGAGAAAATTTAACATGCCTCACTTTACATGTGATTAATCAGTGCCTAAATGAACTTATTTGTTGGGGTAAAATCTAGATTGTCCATCTCTATTTAATATAGGTATTTCTGTAAAAGGAGTACTACAACATCATAAAGCAGGAAGACAAAGGTTAAAGCACTGAGGCCTTGAATTGCAGGTAAATAAATGTAGCTCTTATGTATCAGTGAAGTGGGGACATTAAGTTTATAAAACAGTAAATCTAGATCTAGATTTTACACTGAAGGCAATCCAAAAGCACCTGTTTATTTTCTTGAATTATGCATTAGAGATTAGGATTTCTGAAATACTCAGCACTGATTATTGCTAGGGGAATGGTATAGATTTAACTGCACTATTAAGTGAGATAAAGTGTGCTCAGAAGGGCCATTGCATATACCCTATACTTCTAAGCTCAATTCTTTCTTTAAATAGGTTTTGTTAAACCTATTCAACTTGAAGTTATCTACAAGTTTCTTATGCTCTGGTAGCACTTTAAACAATAATCTGTGCAATAGATGGTCAGTATGAAGCATGATCTTTTATTTTATCTTTTAGATTTCTTTTATAGATGAGTTTTCTTGATAAAGAAACAGATTTTAGAGCCAAAATGGCACCAGCAGCACTAGTTAGATGTCTTTGCTCTATCCTTCAAGGGATGAGTATGTTTAGGAAGTAGCCCAAATTTAATATTTCCTATGATGTTTATTTTAATTATTTGTTTCTAGACTCTTCATGTCATATATATGTATGTTGAATATAAAATAACAATTTCCCAATTTCCCTCTTCTATAATTAGATGCAGATTCATTTTTCTAAAAAGTGAATACAAACTTATGAAACTATAGAATAGTATCATCATCATTGTGAGGGCAGAATTACACTGGCTGAGAGAAAACAATAATTTCAATCTCTCTCTCTCTCTTTTTAATTTTCAACTCTTTGACTCTTTGTTCCCACTGTCTATTGTTGACAAAGGAAACTCAAATATGTAATACCACTGAGCTTGATTAGATACACAAGGGAAGTTATGTAGTATGTTTAATCTGCAACCTGTGTACATTAAAAAACAAATTGAAATGGGTTTTTGGAAGTGCATTGTCATGAATCAATGTGCTTTCTGGGTCTAAGGAACATAAGACAAGCATCTTTTTGTTTTTGTTTTTAAGAGAAGCGTAAATAGCTGAAACCGAAGCACAATCTGTTATCAGTACTTATGGGTCAGGAGATGTGTTTCTTCCTCATTTAATTTAGTTTATATTTTTGAAATGAAATCAAGATAATCATTTAGGCCAGTTCTTTTTTATTTTTTAATTTTTAATTTTTTTTTTTTTTTGAGATGGAGTCTCTGTCTCTCTCACCCAGGCTGGAGTGCGCCAGCATGATCGCGGCTCACTGCAACTCCACCTCCCGGGTTCAAGTGATTCTCCTGCCTTTAGGCCAGTTCTTTACTTTACTCTAGTAGTCTTAGATGTGATTTGTAGGAACACATGGGAATATATGAAAACTTTCCTAGGAGTACATGGTCATGAAGATTATTAAAAAACTTTCATTTTAAAATTTCAATTACCATATGTATTCTTTTCTAATATGGGTCTGGCTGAGAATGTGTCTGTTATTAAGGCATCCTATGGATTTTCCTTTCTGATAGTTTATCTCTCAAATACCAAAAGAATGATAAATATGGTTGTTAATGTTAAGAAAATGGAAAAATCAATGACTGAGTATGAAATCATTTTGCAAGGAAGATTGTTACCAATGTCTTATTTTCAACAAAATTGACACAGGACTCAATTAAACTAATAGCACATAGAAAGTCAAAAATAAGTTTTTATGATTGATTACTATGTGAGATTTGGTATAGAACTCCATTCTGTTCTTATTTGCTAATTTACGTTCATTAGCTTTTCAAAGCTTAAAATAATGACAGAAATAGAAAAAATACATTTATCCATATGATATTCGATAAGAAATTATCTGTCCACAGATATAATAAATCAAAATTTCCATAACTTTCCATCCACCTCATATTTATATTTCCAGTAAAATTATACTTTTATGTTTATTAATTATTTTTAAATCTTCATATAACTATTTTTAAATCTGACATTTGGTGTTCTAATATTAAATGAGACAGTTCTCATGAAAGTCATTATCTTTGAAACTTGCTTCACACAAAACTATGTTTATATACAGGTTATTTATATACAGGTTATTTATTGCAAAGGAATAAGAGAGGATGATCAAGAATGACTTTAAAGTTTAAAATAGATTAGAATGAAATTCCATTCATTCTAACAGTTATTGTTAAAACGTTTTGCACGTGTGTGTATATATATATATGATAATATGTATAACAGTATGTATTTTTATGCCACTTAAATTGTTTAAAGATTGACATAATATTCTGCCTCAAATTATTCTTTCCAGCTATTTAAAATTGAAATACAACATTTTAAGATGACTTAATGGTGAGTACATATATTTTCTAAATTATTTTTAAAATACGCACACAAAGGTTTCAGATGCATACAACTCTGAGTAATGTGGCCTTCCCAAATATCTTTTTCTAGACTAACCAAGCATTTGCCAAACCTTCCAGAGGCTAAAATATAATTTGAGGATAGTTAGTTGAGTTGCTTGCATTGACAATGGAAACAAATCTCATTCCCACTTTCTTTAGCTAGATAGCTCTTGAATTCCATGGGTCCAGGTACATGAAAGATTTTTCCAGCTCATCTGGAATGATTCAGTACTAATCACAGGAGAGAATTCTGCACTATTCCCTATTGTCCATATGTCTGATAGTTTCCAAAAGTTAGATTCCAAGGAATCAAATGTGGGGCACTAGTCAGAATATATTTCAAAATCAGGGCAGCCACTAGATATTTCCTTGGTGAGGGAGTATGCTTAGTAAGAATATTGTCATTGGGGTCTAAGAGAAATTTTTTTCAGAGCTCACAGAAACTCTAGGAACAGGACTCAGTATAAGAATAAGACAGACCAGAGCTCCTGTGTTTTCATTTGGAGGACATGCTGTGCCTTAGTCACCATTTTATTAGATTATTTTATATAGTACTTTTATCCAAAGTGATAATAAAAACAGTTTTGCATAATTGCCCTGTAAATCAGATTTATTGGGTCATACTCAAGAATAAAGTTGAAAAAAATCAACTCTATGGAAATTTTATCATATTTTTACTGAGGAATGTGAATATATAAAATTAATCTTTATGTTATTGCTATGACTTAATTTACATTAATAATCTTTCAATGAAAATAATTCCTAACACAATAATTTAAAAATCAAATAAGAAACCTCAAGCTATATAAAAATGTGTTAAATAAGAAAAATGTATGTCAGACTCTAAATGGGTTAAATACCATTTTTTCTTTCATGGTGTTTGAAATAAGTATTTTGGGAAGCTCGTTTTAAAATATATATTTTAAAAGGAGATGTTGAACATAAATCTTTCGCAGAATTTGTGCTAAGCATAAATCTCCCATATATCTCAGTTTACTCCAGGTCAGTAGAGTTACACAAAACTAACAAATTAATATCTTCATAAGGAGGGAGTAGATACAAGTACATGATATGTAGCTAATAGAGATAGATATGTGATAAATGGAGATAGATTCATAGATATATAGATGGATACATAGAGATAGATATATACAAATATTAGTGTATAAATTATACAGTACTAAGGATGGTAGGGAACTCAAGTAAGTCAGACTGAGATTTTGTTACAAAATGTGACATTTCGCTAGATCCATTTACAACCATACTTTCCCCCCATGGGATTATGGAGACTCCTATGACAAGAATCTCAGTCATTTCTGAAGATATAGAAGTTTGGACCAGAGCATTTAGTTTGATAAGGGACAGAACGGCTTCCTGGGAGTGGATTTGTCCCAGAGTTACAAGGGAACTTCAATAAAATACAATATCAACAGGTCATTTAGTCATGACTATATTGATATGACCCGACCTTGATATTCTCTCCCAACATGCATTTGGGGGAGAATGAGCTACAGTCAACTTAGAAAAGCTTGCATCTTGGGAGCTATGCACACATTATGGCCTTAATAAACATAGTTCAGAGAAGTGAGAACTGTTTCTCTACTCAATTCCACCAAAGAGTGAGGAGCAACAGGACTCTGACCTGGGAACAATGGAATAACTGAGAGAAAATGATAGATGGGAATGAATCCATGATTGTCAGTGCCTTGAAAGTACAGTGTTTTTATTTTTTAATAATGGAAGGCACTGCATGATATAGACAATAAGGCCAGACAAAAATCTCAGAAGCAAATTGAAGAGGCTGAAGATACTTCCAGGCATACTGAGTGCAAGAAACTTCGAAAAATAGTATCTGAATTACAGCCATATTAGAGGTGATTCATGAGCCCCAAAACTCCCAATTTAGGGCTCTTATAAGACTGGTTACATGGTCTAGGCTTGAAGCTTCAGTGGATAACAGTCTCCTCCGAACCAAAATCTAAACTGTAGGAATCCTATCCTCAGGTACAAAACTACAGCGAGGTAGAAGAAATAAGTTCTAGTGTTCTATGCCACTATAAGATGACTATAGTTAACAGTAAAATATTATATACTTTCAAATAGCCAGAAGGATACTGAATGCTCCCCACATGAAGAAGTAATAAATGATTCATATGATGGATATGCTAAAATCCTGATTTGATCACTATATATTACAGGTACTGAAACATCATTATGTACTCCATGAATCAGTACAATTATTATCAGTCAATTAAAAAATTAAAACAAATAAAAAAATTAAAGAAGGTAGTCATAGAAACTCAGAACCATTAGCATATGTACCAGTGACCCTTTTGTTTTACTACTGGACAGATTGAAATGTGGAAAGAGAGATATAGATTATAAAGAAGGCTCTATCTAATTTAGCTACTTAATAATGCTCACAAGAAGGAGAACACAAAACCTGGTGTCTCTGTCCCAGGCAGCAAATAGACAATGTTATCATGAGGTATCCTCTGTAAATAACAGTACCCTCCTCTAATATGAAAATATGTCCCAATAAATGTCCTGACCTTTTTTCAAGAAAACAGGCTGCTCTCTTTTCTTTGAGATTAAAATGTATCTAAAGCAGTGAGCTGAGAATTCAGAAGTTAGAAGCTGCAAGAGAGTCCCCAGCCTCGTAAGCTGGTATTTGACAAGTACAATAGTTATTTCCATCTTAACAGCCAAATCATCTGGAGGGGTTTTAAATAACTACAGATGCCCAAAGCATACCCTATGGCCAGAGAACCAAACTTTCAAGGGGTGAAGACTACACATCTGTATTTTCTAATAGCTCATATGTTAATTGCGATTCTACAATGAAGTTTGTAAATCACTACTCTACAGTTTTTGTAAAATTAGGCCTTACTTTCAAATCTCTGTATTAGGTTGACACACTGGAAGGAATGTGAGAATAAGAGTTGACCCAGGCCACCTTCTCTACTGTAAACCTTTGAAGACTAGGTGAAGGAGAGGCATGTCAGCAGATGCCTAAGGCTTTAGAACTTGCTTGGTCCAGGTCCTGTGACAGCAGTTGCTGATTCCATCACTTCTTTATTTTACAAACTAATCTACATTTTCATGAAATTAAGAACCAAACTACACAAAGCAGAGAGAGTAGAAAAGAAATCTTTAGGTTTTACCAACAAAACTCTGCCTGATTATAATATTTAATAGCCTTAGTGCCAACAAGGCTTCTCAGAATAATTGTGTCCATATGCTGGCTCCACTCTCTCAGCTCTTATTTACTGTTTGTTGCTAAAATATTTTATTATGCAAATCTCTGTAAGTACAAATTTAAATCAAATTGACCCCACTTAGTATGGGATTCTTAATTTAAAATACACTAATGTAATTATGCTCTAAATTCTTTATTTTACAAATAAGCTTTAACCAAACCAACTTTACAGCTAACATTTATTGTATGATATTGTCTAAAAATGTACTTTAATACAAAGAAAAACCAAACTTTAAGTTAGGGAATCTAAGAACTGCTCCATTTTCTAATTGCCTCTAAAGACTTAAAAACCTATGGGAGCCATTTCATCTCTCCAAATCAGAATTTTTTCATCAGCAAAGTTGATATCATAGCCACACCAACTTACCTCTTAGGATTGTGTAAAAAATACAGAATTCAGTATAAAATAATATAAAGTATAATGCAATTTAAAGTTAACTGGTTATGATTATTTAAATAACTAAGCTCAACTATGGAATGAAGTTGAAACAAATTTGGAACTCATGCTTGGTGAAGGAATGAATGAAAGCATAATTCCATGATGATGATATTAAGGACTTGTCTCTTATTATATCCTACTAAATGTAGTAATAAAGTGTTGACAATATTCTCTTCCTTGACATATGAGATCTTTGTGTTCCTATTGCACCTGCTTAGTGTCTAGTTTGCGCTGAAAGTAAATGTTTACACAAAGGTTATAATTTGCTCTATTATGACTAGGTTGAGGAAAGGAGCAGCTGTTCTTGTTCAAATGTTGTGAAGTCTTTCTCTGTTTTTTGTTTTTGTTTAAATTCTTTGGCCTCTCTTTTGAAGGCTAAGAAAGCAAATATCACCTCTGTACTCTTACCTTGCAGATAGAGGTTTTTCTTTTCATTGTGATGGGAGTGCATTCCTAAGAGCAACATTTTAATTAGTATACCATTTTTTTGGGTCACATTTCATTCCAGTGGTAAGGAACTAGTAAATTTTGCATAAGTAGAAACAAAAATTCATAATATATTTTTTCAGCTCACTGATTTCACCTTTTAAGGGGCTATTAATAATTCAAATTGGCACTCATTACCCTTGACAAGTTAGTAAACTGTGCTTTTAAATCTTTTGCTTATGTCTCATATTCTTGTATATCCTTTTCCATTTATGTAAATGTTATCTTCCCAATCATTTAGCCTTGAAAACTTCTGAGTCATTTGAATCCTGGCACTTTCTTTTCATTTCTCCCTCTCTCTATCTCTCCCTCTTTTTATACTTCATCTGCTGGTTTGGATTCTATAGGTTTTATTTTAAGTAATTAAAATTTCAATATACATATTTAACTGTATATATTTGTAGCATGATCCAAATTTTTTCATGAAAGCACCTTATGCTTAACAGTCCTTTAAATGCTTCCATTGTCATTTTGCAAATCATTATTGTCTGGAGATTTGGCTCCGGTATTTTTAAAATCAGCTACAAAATGAATCATGTATTACAGTCAATAATTCCCAAAATATGTTACTGATTAATTTGCTGTTACTTACATTGCACTTCTTTGCCATGGATTTAATTTGCATCCTGCATGTATCCTTGACTAGTCCTTTCAGAGCTCACAGAACAATGCCACACATTCAGATTTCAATGGATTCTTATCTGGCTTCTATACCTAAATTCTATGAAAACTGCTACTGCTAGTGTTACAATAATTTTCACATTATTAAAATCCAATGGACATTTTTTTTACTCTTCTTACAGTGTTCTCAGAATCATTCACCCCGTTTCTGTTTTTTCCTTTGTGAGGACTTTTCTGCTCTAGAGTCACTACCTACTTACCATGTTTGCCTTTTCCTTTCTAGGCATTCCTCTGTTTCCTTTCAGACTCCTCATCCAACCTCTAACTGTCTTCCTCTTGCCCTTTTCATTTAAACACTTTCTAGATCATCTCATCCATTCCTTTACCTTTAAATGTCACATAGGTATACTGATGTTGAAGATAGCTATATATATAATGCTGATCTTTCAGAACTGTATATCTTGATCTCTCCATCTGGTTACCTTCCATTTATCTAAAATTTCACTTGTCCTAAGCTGAACTCCTAATTTTTGGATCTTCCATTTATATTTCTCCTTCAAACTTCTCCGTCTTTCCACATGGCACTAGCATGTGCTCTGTACTTCAAGCTGTGACCTAGTGATCAACAGCCATACCAGCTTCTCTCTCCATCCTCATCAGCAAATCTCTATGATTATTAGTAAAAGTCCTATATTAAATCTTAGCCCTTATTCCTATGTCTGCTGTCACCTTCCTCACCTGTCCACCATAGCCTAATGAAGTACTTTTATTTTATTTATGTTTTTTTTTTTTTTGTGAAGGAGTCTCACTCTGTCACCTAGGCTGGAGTGCAGTGGCACGCAATCTCGGCTCACTGCAACCTCCGCCTCCCAGGTTCAAGTGATTCTCCTGCCTCGGCCTCCCAAGTAGGTGGGACTACAGGCACGTGCCACCATGCCCGGCTAATTTTTCTGTATTTTTAGTAAAGACGGTGTTTCACCATGTTGGCCAGGATGGTCTCCATCTCCTGACCTCATGATCCATCCACCTTGGCCTCCCAAAGTGCTGGGATTACAGGCTGAGCCACTGCGCCTGGCCTGAAGTAGTAGTTCAGTGAATTTTCTACTTTGTCTTTCTCTTAGAACAACTGTTGTTCGCTCCATAGACAGTATGACTTTTAAAAAATATATAAATTTGGATATTGTCATCCCTTTGTTAAAAAGTAAAAATTATCTTGAGATAAATATAACATCTTTAATATGGCCAGGAAGTTATTGTTTACTCCTACTGTGAAATTATTCAACATGCTTTTTCCTGAATCTGGAATGGTTTTTCTCCATTTATGGCCTGACTTATCACCACACTTTAGGGCTAAGTTTAAATGTCCAAATAATTTTTCACTCATTCATTTATTCAACAAGTATTTCTTGACTTCCTATTATGTACAAGGCTTTATTCTAGGTACTGGAATACCTTAGTGACAAAGCTAGAAGAGAAAGGAAAGGAAAGAATGAAGATGAATAGATAGGAAGATAGATACATATAATCTCTATCTTCATCATTATCAATATATGTTAAGTGCTATGAAGTAATTTCTAAGAGAGGTCTTGTCTAATACCAATCTAAATTGGATTTTCCTTGTTCTTCTTCCTAACAACCTGATTTTTTATAGCATAAGAATTTATAATAGTGCACATATTCATGTTATTTTTCCATAGATAATCTTTTTACTATACCGTAAACTCCATGTGTTAGGTGCCATGCTTCTTTTAGCACTAATTTATCTTTGGCATTGAAACCCAGGTTGGCACATAATAGGTTTTGTAATAGATATTTGTGTAACAACTACCCAATTGTTTCTTTTTAATATTCATCTTTTAAAAATTGTATCCTAAATGCTCCTAGGAGACGTCCTGGGTCAGAAACAGATTTCTTACTATCTCACAGTAAAAATTGAATGCTTCGACTGCCCTTCTTTTGTCCTTGCAGTGACATGATGAAAGATGATAGTTTTGTTTTTTTTTTTTTCTATCTGAATATCCAGATACTCCATGGGTGAGAGACAAAGTAAATTTTTTTTTTGCTCTCTGCTAATAAAGAGGAAAGAGGCCACTGTATCCCTCCCTTTCTAAAAGGGTCTCCTTAGAGACCCTGAATCCTAATGGGCCTGAATCCTTACCCCAATCATTTGGTATATGTAAATAAAATATCTCTATGAGGCAGATAGCCCCCTGTGTCTGAGGCATTGTTTCTTCTGAAATATCAGTACTGGGGAGATAATGCTCCAGTCTCCTTGACATCCTGAAGCTTAATCTAGGGAACTATTACAGGATATAACCATTTGGTCCTCTTGAGGAAATATTAGTTTTATTATACTTTCATATCAGGACCATTAAGTAGACAAATAGCTAGAGATCAAATTCTTATGTATGTGAAGAATGGAATGTTCCTGTGTCTCAGGAGGCTAAAGATTTCTACAGGAACGCTAAAAAAAATACAGCGAAATTTTATTTCCCCATAAATAAAGAAGTGAATACATAAATAAAAGTAGGGCACTGATAACACGACGAAGTGAACACATGAGTGAAAGCAGGACAGTCTTATATGGAATAACCTTTCAGATGTGAACTTACTTCAACAATCTCATCTATGTTTTTGCTGGGTAACAGTCCTCCACGAAGTCTCATACTCCTCAGTCTTAGTGGGTACACCAAACATGCAAGGCCCTGACAGCTCTTTTCCTTTGCCAGAGTTGTGTTTACAATGAGTAACCATGAGGTATGAGATCATGTCTCCCTCTAGAACAGTGTGTGCTTGCTTATTGCTTACTATAGGTTAGTCAATTATCGATGCTCACTATTCTCCTGTAATGCAACCCACTGCATGTGCAGCAACCATCTGGGCCCTCTGCATTAGCCCCATTGAACCAGTGGAACAAGAAGAAATAATGTAAACATGATGTTCATCCTGCCATGAGTAATGAAATTCTCTTTACCTCTCACCCAGGAGTCTCATGTCTACTGCCAGCATCCATGAAACAGTAACAACAGGCTAACTTGTTCACAAGGAGGGTAAAATTAAATCCCAGGGCCTGACAATTATTCTTAGCATACAGTTGAGAGGTAGCAGGAGGTTGAGTTGACAATTTAATTTAACCATGCTTTGGATGTGCACTACAGTTTCTGTATTATTCTGGATCTGCAACCAGAATAATGTTCTTTCTCTTATTGGTCTCACCTACAGGTCACTCAAATTATCCCCAGTGAGGGCATCAGATGCAGCTGATACTCCCGTTTGTGTGATATATGCCTTTGGGAGATACGTGCGTTCACAGATAGTGCCTGCAGTGGCTGTCAACTCAATTCTACTGATAATTTAGGGACACTCTATCAGAGTAGAAGGGTCTTTGGAGTGGCCATGCAGCATGTCTAGCAGAGATATATTATAAACCTTTACTGAAATTCTCGTTGTTTTCCAAATATACCATGTTCTTGTGTTCTACTGGGATTTTGCACATTTGTTTCTTTTTATCTCAATCTATTGCCATTATACTCACCTTTTATAACCAAACTGAGGATCACACTTCTCTGATATATCTTCTGATTCTCCCTTGTGAAAGCCAAACTAGTTCCTCCCCTTTTGTTTGCTTATATAGTTACTATATACCTCTATAACGTACTGGTTAAGCATGAAAAGTACCTGTCATGACCGAGAAAATAGAGTGATCAAATTATACCAAGATAAACACTTATAAAACTTTAAAAAATTTATTTATGCTCATCAAAATATTATCCACTTCATATTCCTTGTTACACACTGCAACAACACTTATCTCTGAATGTCACCAGATAAGTTGTTGATATATTTTTCACACCTTATTTTACAGGCTAACTTGTCTAATAGATTGTATCACTGTCCAT